>NC_000003.12:83949393-84252424 GCF_000001405.40 Homo sapiens | reverse complement strand
AGAGGAGGATAAGAAATGAATGCTGCAATGATTTTCAAAACTATATGAGCATATTCTGAACTTTATTTCTTTCAGTAAATATTCTTTCCTGCTATGTGATTGAAGTGAGCGTAGAGACCTTAAATATTTGGCAGAGGATGATTTCAATCATTTTTATGAGTTAAATATATAAATTTAACAGTGTGAATATTACTATACTTAAGATTTCAAAATGCGCTCCTTACAAATGGAGGTAAAAACAATGTGAAATAGCCTTTCCTGATTAAAAAAATGTATATTCTTGGAAGTTTTATACTAATACAGGTATTTAATTATTGCCATGCACAAAATAATGTCCTTTTATGAATATCTGAAAGTATTCAGATAGGTAACAATTTTACTAATATATATTCTTTTGTATTTTGTCTCATATGTGCTTTGCATTTATGGATATACAATAAAGACATTTTTCTTCCTAATTATTGTTTATCGTAAATAATAATGAGGAACATGTAAGATAGAGTTTTGGAATATGAGAATTCACAGATCATTACAAGTCTACATAATTTTTAAAATTTTTATGCATGACTAGAATGATTAAAATGTATGTGGAGACTCTAATTACACCAAAATACATAATTTGAAAATTATTTAAATCAAAACAAGATAAAGGGAAAGTAATTGGAATATTATAATGACTTTTAGCTAATATACAAGTTTTAGGAAAAGTAACGACCCAAATTAAGTTTCAGTCTCAGTTATAAATATCATAAATGACAATTAAAGAAGGAAAGTTGTTATTGTATATTTATTGTATTATATAGCATTTACAATTATAAAGCACAAAGTTTGACTTCTAAGTCCTACAAGTTATAGATTTCTGACATACTGCAAAGTACATGTAAATACCCTATAACTCATAATAAATATTAACAAACTATAAAAATTAACTTTCCTTTTTTATCATACATTTTAGTGTAGAATAATTTCAAATAATTATGAACATAAAAATCAGCAAAACTATCTGGGCTATTTAAACTTTATTATCTGATTGTTATTAACAAAGAAAGGCCATATTTTATATATAGAAGAAAATTTATATGCACATATGGCTTCTTGGTATTGTATGTGAAAATTATTCTGTCCATTTTAATACATATTTTATGTTTTAATTTGCATATAACGTTTAATTTTAAAGTACTTATTTCTTGAAAAAACACACAGTGCTTTGTCATAAACATCATTCTAAGAGCATTACAAACATTATTTACTTAATCCTCATAAAACACTGAAATAGTCCCCATTATTATCACCATTTAAAGACAAAGCATGCTAGAAGGACAAGTATCTCACTCAAGATAGAAAGACAGTCAGGATTTGAAAGCAGACACCAGACCAAGTGGTGTCTTAAACCCTATTTTATATTTTCTTTTAATGTATATTTGATCATATGTATTGACATATAATAAGGGATTAATGATACACATAATTACTTACAGGTGAAGTATGCATTTGCAACTTAAATTCTTTCTCATCCTTCTCTCTACCTTCTTAAACTTGTTGTGGTTCTTGACACACTTAAAACACAGTTTACACTGCATAGATGGAAGCTGGGGGAGGAGATTTCAAGATTAAACGTAATAGACTCAATATCTATTAAAAATTTGTATTTCTTTATTAGGGCTAATTGAACAGAAAACATAGAAGGACCAAGAGTACAGGTATATTAATATAAATTTAGTGGTATCTTAGAAATATAGTACAGAGGAACCAAAAAAGAGCCCATACAGCCAAGACATTCCTAAGCAAAAAGAACAAAGCTAGAAGCATCACGCTACCTTCAAACTACACTACAAGACTACAGTAACCAACATAGCATAGAAGTGGTACAAAAACCAACACATAGACCAATGGAACAGAACAAAAATTTCAGAAGTAAGACCTCACATCTACAACCATCTGATCTTCTACACACCTAACAAAATAAGCAATAGGGAAAGGATTCCCTATTTAATAAATGTTGATGGGAGAACTGGCTAGCATAAGCCAAAAATTGAAACTAGATCCCTTCCTTACACCTTATACAAAAATTAACTCAAGATGGATTAAAGACATAGATGTAAAACCCAAAACTATAAAAAGCCTAGAAGAAAATCTACGCAATACCATTCAGGACATAGCAAGGGCAAAGATTTCATGATAAAACTGTAAAAAGCAATTGCAACAAAGCAAAAATTGGGATCTAATTAAACTAAAAAATTTCTGCACAGCAAAAGAATGGGATCTAATTAGATCCCAAAACAAATGGGATCTAATTAAACTAAAAAGTTTCTGCACAGCAAAAGAAATTGTCATCAGAGTGAACAGACAACCTACATAATAGAAGAAAAATTTTGCAATCTGTCCATCTGACAAAGGTCTAATATTCAGAACCTATAAGGAATATAAACAAATTTACAAGAAAAAACAACTCCATTACAAAGTGGTCAAAGGGCATAAACAGACACTTCTCAAAAGACGACGTTTATGCTCACAAACATATGAAAAAAACTCAACATCACTGATCATTAGAGAAATACAAATCAAAACCACAATGATATACCATCTCACAGAAGTCAGAATGGCAGTTACTAAAAAGTCAAGAAACAACAAATTTTATCAAGGCTGCAGAGAAACAGGACTCTTTTACACTGTTGGTTGGAATGTAAATTAGTTCAACCATTGTGGAAGACAGTGTAGTAATTCCTCAAATGCCTAGAACCAGAAATACCATTTGACCCAGCAAGCCTATTACTGGGTACACACCCAAAGGAATGTAAATCATTCTATTATAAACATGCACATATACATATGTTCACTTGCAGCACTTTTACAATAGCAAAGACATGGAATCAACCCAAATGCCCATCAATGATAGACTACATAAAAAATGTGGTATATATATGCCATGGAATACTATGCAGCCATAAAAAGGAACAAAGTCATGTCCTTGGCAGGGAGATGGATGGAGCTGGAAGCCATTATCCTCAGCAAACTAACGCAGGAACAGAAAACCAAACACCACATGTCCTCATTTATAACTGGGAGCTGAACAATGAGAACACGTGGACACAGGGAGGGGAGCGATACACACGGGGGCCTGTTAGGGGGTGCGGGAGGAGGGAGAGCATCAGGATAAATAGCTAATGTATGAAGGGCTTAATACCTAGGTGATGAATCACCATGGCACAAGTTTACCTGTGTAACAAACCCGCATGTCCTGCACATGTATCCGAGAACTTAAAATTCAATTAAAGTAAAAGAAAAAGAAATATAGTACAGAATGGTCAATTAAGACTTTTAAAATTATTTTCAGGTTGGGGACGCTGGCTCACGCCTGTAATCCCAGCACTTTGGAAGGCCAAGACAGGTGGATCACGAGGTCAGGAGATCGAGACCATCCTGGCTAACACGGTGAAACTCTGTCTCTACTAAAAAAAAAAAAAAAAAAAAAAAAAAAAAAAATTAGCCGAAGGTGGTGGCGGGCGCCTGTAGTCCCAGCTACTCGAAAGGCTGAGGCAAGAGAATAGCGTGAACCCGGGAGGCGTAGCTTGCAGTGAGCCGAGATCGCGCCACTGCACTCCAGCCTGGGCGACAGAGCGAGACTCTGTCTCAAAAAATAATAAAATAAATAAAATAAAATTATTTTCAGTTATAGAAATGCTAATCTCTCAATCTCTGTGTAGGTACTTCACAATATTTTCTATTATTTTAAGATTTCAAACATGATTCTGGGGCGGTCCTAGACTATTTTGTACACAAATAAAATATTTTCAAATAAAATGAACCTGAAATACTAGTAAACTTGCTTCTGATTTGCTACTTGCCTCTTTATCCCTGTGTAGTATCAGGACTTTGCTGTTAATAGCAGCAGCATTATTCCCTTCACTTACATTTAATCTTCTACTTTATCTTTAATTTTCATGTTGTGGCTCTTTCATTTTCAAGCTTCAATTCTTTCTCCTACCACCTTTCTTATTCTTCCATGCCTGGGTCATAGAACTAGATTTACCTGTCCCACAAATGTCATTATCAGTATGTATTTTATTTTAAGCAAGTCCATGTCCTCAGAGGATTCCCTCGTATCCTGCTAAGAAGGTAAGTGTTTGGCTCCCCGAGTTCTGAAAATCACAGGGGTAGGAGACTGGAGGTGTTACTGTCCAGAACGCAGTCTTTAATCTGAAGCCCTGAATTTTACAATGCACTTTCCCTCTGCACTCACAGGAGTCTTACGCCACTAAACTGAATCGGGCTCTTTGATCGTTTATCTGCCCCTGTGGGCTGCAAGTCTGTAGTTACTTTTTATTGTTATTTATTTATTATTATTATTATTTTTTGAGACGGAGTCTCGCTCTGTCGCCCAGGCTGGGGTGCAGTGGTGCGATCTCGGCTCACTGCAAGCTCCGCCTCCCAGGTTCACGCCATTCTCCTGCGTCAGCCTCCGGAGTAGCTGGGACCACATGGGCCCGCCACCACGCCCGGCTAATTTTTTGTATTTTTAGTAGAGACGGGTTTCACCGTGTTAGCCAGGATGGTCTCGATCTCCTGGCCTCGTGATTCGCCCGCCTCCGCCTCCCAAAGTGCTGGAATTACAGGCGTGAGCCACCGCACCGGGCCACTTTTTTTTTTTTTAATAAACTTTCCATCGGGCTAAATCCCATTAAATAACACAATTAGCTTATATAATGTGTTTATTTTTTATTAAATATGAAGTGTACATTTTTTTTCTGGCGGTTTCCTAACTCTAATGAAATATCCTACTTTGTAGCTATTCTTTCTTTTTCTGCTTAATAATAATTGGGATCTTACAAAGGTGAATCACGAGTGCCAGGTAAGTTTTCAATACTAGCTCTGCATACATTTTTATTTTTGTTGTTATTGCTCAGAATCATCAGAATCACTATTTTCAATGCTCCTTTTCCCCATAGTTCAGAGCAGCTCATTCTCTAACTTGGAACACAGCAACCTCTCTTTAACTTCTTCCTACTAATATTAGCAGAGTGGACCAAGACTCTTCTTTGATAAGTCTTAGCAAATGGCTTAACTCTTGGCAAATTTATTTTCAAAATTGTACAACTTCTAAAAAAAAAGCCAAGGCAGATACCGTCTTTTTGTTTTGTCCAGTGAGAGAATAAAAGCTTTAAGCTTCTACTTTCAGAAAGGAGAAACAGGGTAACCAGTGAGCCTGCCGTACTTCAGTCTCTCGCAATGAGTATGTGACTGTATTGCCTGGTGATGTGTAACTCTAGAAGCCAAATTTGCCTGTAAATTTCCCACTCCTAAAGCCCAGCTAGAGGTAACTGGACCAGTGGTACACATCTGAGGTGAGAATATCATTCAATAAGCTTTCCAGGCGTCACCTCTATTCCTAACTCGGCTTAATTCTCACTTTTGGGAACACTGTATTAGAAAATAAAAATAAATAAAAATAAAAAAACCATGCAGTTACCAATAATGGATGGATAGATTGAGAACATAGTTTAGTCATGGGCTATGAGTAAATCAAAGTGTAAAATGACAGAATCAATGATTTAGAAAATGTTATGAAATGGATAAGCTGTATAGAATACCAGCAAGGGAAAAAGATTTCAAAGATGGAAGAATGACCAGAAGCAGGAAACCAAAATTGATGATCGTATCTCAATAATGAAGGAACAGTATTATAAACATTCAAAAACAGCTTTCATTGATATTCCTCAGATGTGTAGCATTCAACTTTCATGGCCCTGAGATAGGTCACAATATGATTTTAACTTCTGCTTCTTGTCACCTATTGAATTGCTTTTGGACTAGCCCAGCCCCTACACATACATTTTCTTAAAGTATCCTGTGTTGGTGTCTGGCTCTTTGAATTAAGTAAGAATACTATAAGAGAAGTTTCTGCGTTATGGACAACAGTAGGGTCAGCCTGAACACGTGCACATAACTGAGATACATGTATGTAATAGTTACACATGTATTTTCCTATTATCTTACAATAAGTTGCTCTGCTTGGTGAGAAATTTAAAGTAAAAGATAAATTATTTGTCCCCAGAGGAGGTGTGTAAAATCCTAATATTCTAATTTTATGTCTCCCATGAAGTATATTTCTTTCTTTGTTTTATAGACAATTTATTGTCTTTAATGATAATATCTTTAAATATGGTAGGGATTATTATATATTTTAAGAAATCTTACAAGTACATTTTAATTATGAAAATTATTACAAAAAATTATTACATAAAAATTATCTCAAATATCTTTACTTTTTTTCTCTCTGGTTACATTGAAGTTATGCCTGAAGTACCAAAAAATTTAGAATTCAAGCAGATCCCCTGGAAAAGGTACTTAGGTTCCCCATGAGGCAGACTAATTTGAGCAGCAGCAACTTTGGAAAGGCAGTCACTGCATTTTTCTTTGATCCCTGAGCCAGGCACTGAGTCCTGCCTGTGGCTATGTTAGAACACTTACGGAGGACAGAACAAGAAAAGGCAATGCTGCATATTTCAGAATTTAGTTTGTTCTTATTAGACAAGCTTCCTCTCCTCTCCAACTACCAGCTGGAATTTTCCTCTAAAATTGTAAATTCTGGATGAAGAAATCACTTTTATTTACATGTTAAATTCTTATGAAATGTTGTATGTGCATATTAGCTATGCATCAAATAATCTGCTATTTTAGAAAGTTGGAAAATCACCTGCTTAAAATTAGAGAAGAGTAGGAGGAATGGGATATACATTTTTAAAGCAGATTGCATTACATCGATATCATAATTTGACAGAATAAGCTTAATCACTAAGGAAAACTATTTTCTTTTTGGAAAATTTCATCGGGCAATGCTTATCATCTATTTTCCTTGTTAAATGATTGTAGCAGATGTATAAATAGGGATATATCCTCCCACTAGTGCCAACTATGCTTTATTTTTGTGAGACATTGAAATATTTTCTTCATGTCAGCTTTTGATTTTTGCTTTTCCTAAGAAAATTGTGTAAAAGTGTAAGTTAAATTAAAAAGACCTAAAGATAGAAATTGTAACATTATTTCAAAACTTCATGTGGTTTCATATATTTAGTATTTCAAAACTATGAGTAAAGGATTTACCTTACTATCTAAGTTACTGTATGGAATGCTATACACTATAAATTTAAAAAAAATAAATGAAATTCTAAATTTTACTAGACATCTCAAATAGTCTGTTGAACACAATTTCCAAAATGCCTAAAGTGATTTCAAGAGTATTTTGAAATATGTAATATATTTTTAAGTTTCTGACTTAATTAGCTGAAGTGAGAAAAATAAAAGAGAAATATTAATAAATATTTAATTTAAAAATGTCTCTCCAAATAAAGTAAAATATTTTAAGATTTCAAATTATCTTAACTATTTCATGTGGATCAAATATACTAAATATTAATTTGAACATCCTGCAATATATTCCTTGCTTCCTATCTATAATCTAGTCTCTGATCTTTAAATGTAAAATTGCCATTGTAGAACATGTATATATTTCACTCACTGTGACTAATATTTGTATAAATTGCCATGTGGTGGAGGCTATCACTATCAGATACAGTGGACAAGACGTTGCAACTAACTAGATGGGCAATGAGATGCTCCATTTTAGTTGCTAGTATCAATATGGAATTAATGAATACCTCATTATACATGCATACAGGTATATATGCTTGGATTTCTGGCAAATATATGCCACACAGTTAAAGGAATTATCCAGAAAAATTTAGAATTGTAACTTGTCTTTACCAAAGTCATAAAGCAACAAAATGTCTTATTTAAAATGTAAAAACAAAACAAAGCAAAAACTTGTTTGCTATGCTTATGCTAGTTACCAAATAAACACTATCATAATTTATATCTTATATTTCTGTTGAAATGTATGTTAGAAGAAACTAAGTTTACCATGCCATTAAAAAAATTCAAAATGCAATCCTAATGTTTCAGAAACAAACAAATGGAACAATATGGATGCCCTTTATTAACACTTTGAAAACCATAAAAAACATAACATCTTCATGGCACTAGCTCTGTTTTGAAGTATGTAGTAAAATGCGTTCATTCAATTTTTAAGGTGTGTGTATGTGTATATATATGGTAATTATGCTATTTCCTGTAGGGGAAAAAGTTTGAAGAAAATGTGTCATTTACTGTGCATAGAAATAGTCATTTCTGTAATATTGCCACTAAATGTTATTCTAGAACTTTTCTTAAAACGTGGAATAACACAGGGTACAATTTATCATAAAGATCCTGTATCTTTTATAAAGAGCTATATTTTTCATGTACCATGGACAATGGTGTATGAATGTTATTAAACATATCCCATTTCCTGCAATAACCTCCCAATGCAAACATGGAGAAAGTTTTTTGTTCACATGATCAACTCGTGGGCTGCCCTATTCCTTCGAGAATAACTAAGAGGAAAGTAAATAAGTTCATTGACCTAATGAAGAGCTGAGACAAGAGGGGGAAGGTACAGCTAGCATTGCCTAACAGAATGATGGGAGAATAAAGAGAATCTCTCCAGAGCAGCTGCTAGGTGTAATTGGAAATTAAAGAAAAGGGTATTTGAACTGTTACTGAGAAAAATGAATTGAACTACTTTTAATGGTTTTCCACCAATATAATAAAGAAATGTTTTCATGGTGAAACTCTGTCTCTACTGAAAATACAAAAAATTAGCCGGGCATGGTGGCGGGCGCCTGTAGTCGCAGCTACTCGGGAGGCTGAGGCAGGAGAATGACGTGAACCTGGGAGGCAGAGTTTGCAGTGAGCCGAGATGGCGCCGCTGCACTCCAGCCTGGGCGACAGAGCAAGACACCATCTCAAAAAAAAAAAAAAAAAAAAAAAAGAAATGTTTTAAATTGCATTTGCTACTAGCTTTCTTTAAAAAATAATAATCAGTTCTACTCCGAGACTGGAAACGGTGGTGATTTCTTTTTTGTTTTTTATTCAGCTAAAATGTTCCCTTTAAAATCTAAATATATGGGAAAAGTCAATACATTTCCTGTCTCATAATGTTTTCAAATATATAAAACTAACTTTCACGTTTTTCACACTCCAACTGCTCCAATGTAGCTTTCCTTCTCCTATTTAACATCTCTGTTTCCTGAGACTCCCTCTATATGCTAGGACTTTCACATCCCTCTTGATCCTTTTCTCCCCTTGTGAAAGGAAGTATTCCATTCTAATATGACTGAGACCCTCTAAAATTCCCATAACTGGAAGCAATTCTCCAAATATCACCAACCCTTCACAGGCTCATTCTGTCTTTACTAGGATACTCTGTATTAATATGCTCTGATGATAACATCAGCAGACAATAGCATAGCAAACTCTATCTCATAAGAAACTAGGGGTCAATTAGAATCCACATCTTTTATATAAACTGCTGTCAAACAAAATGTACTCTATCCCATTTAATTACGTTTTTAATTTATATGCAAAGACTTTACATTAGCTTGTGTTAAATAATTTAAATTACCAAAATTCCATTTTATGATTCAAACTATTTGGAAAATGAGCCATCAATTCTACTTGTGTCATCTGCCATTTCTATTATATTAGATAAGTGTTATGTCTGAAGATAAATTTTCCATTCTCTCCATATTACCAGTTTAGTTAATGGCACCGCAATTCATACAATTGTCTAATTCCACGCAATATTGTAAAAGCACGATCTGGTTATATGGATATTACCCACTTCAAGTCATTTGATAGAGGAGCTGAGTGAGTTGAAATGCATAAATCTTCTAGATGGGGAGATTTAATAAACAATATAATAAACATTTGATTCTCCCCATGCTAATATGAGCATGCTAATATGAGGACTTTTTTTTTTTTTTTTTGTAATTTGGATGCAGTGATTTTTAAAGTTCAAATGAAGAAAAAATACTTAAGAAGATAACTGGAAAACAGCAATAATGAAAGACTTCCTTATATCAGTTCAGAATCAAATACCGTAAATATAATTTTTTTTGTTGATCAAAGTCATAGAGTAAAGAAGCCAGAGTAAATCCTCATGCATAGGAGAAGCTAATCTTTAACAATGCAGTTCAATTTATTGAGACAAATGTCCTCTTTACGAGATACGCTGGCATGACTGACTATATGATGAAAATCCATAATGGCCTACACTATTTTACTCTTTTAAAATACAATTCCCTTAAATATTTTCTCTATATACATTGAGTGTCATTTCAGATGGTGGTATGTTTGTTTCAACTGTCAAATATAATATACAATGCTCATAAAAAGTAAGATAGTCTGTTACATGTTCTCCATTTCCTCCCATCCTTATGTTCTCCTTTCCTTTGTGAAGTCCAATTTTTTTTCTGTTATTATATTTTTACTTTTTAAGTAATCTGTTTTGGGTTTTTTTTTTTGTTTGTTTGTTTTTGAGACGGAGTTTCACTCTTTTGTCCCAGGCTGGAGTGCAGTGGCGGGATCTCGGCTCCCTGCAACCTCTGCCTCCCGAGTTCAAGCAATTCTCCTGCTTCAGCCTCCCGAGTAGCTAGGATTACAGGTGCCTGGCATCAGGCCCGACTAATTTTTTGTATTTTTAGTAGAGACGGGTTTCGCCATGTTGGGCTGGCTTGGTCTCAAAATCCCGACCTTGTGATCCGCCCATCTCGGCCTCCCAAAGTGCTGGCATTACAGGCGTGAGACACTGCGCCCCGCCGGCCATTTGTTAAGGGAATTTGCTAACAACAAATTCTCTCAGCTTTCTTTCATTTGAGATTATCTTTATGTGGTTTTCACTTCTGAAGAATACTTTTGCTGGATATAAAATTCATGATTTGCAAATACTTTCACTAACTACTACAAAAATGTTATGCTGCTCCTTCCCGCTTCTATGGTTTCAGATGAAAAATTCACAATTATTCACATTGGTCTTTCCCTAGAAAATAGTGCTTCATTTCTCTCGGGCACCTTTTAAGTCTTCTTTTTGTCATTAGTTTTCAGGAATTTAATTATGTGTTTTGAAGTAGATTTCTTTGGTTCCATCCTATTTGGGGTTTGCTAGAATTATTTAACCTAGTTTAGATCTTTTACCAAATTTGGGAAGTTTATCTATTTTCTCTTCTGTCGTTTTTACTCCACTATTGATTGAGTTCATTCAATGAAAATATTTATTTAGGTTATTGCATTTTCAATTTTGCATATACATTAATTCTTTTTCATATCTCGTATTTCCTTTCTGACATTTTCGTATTTTTTTCTTAAAGCATTCTGAACAAGTCATTTAAAAAAATTTATATTATTTCCCTTTAAATCACAAGATATATATTAAGTTTATTTAATTTTATATCAGATATATGAGATGAACATTGTCAAAATTTGCTGAGGCTTTCTTTTTAGCCTAGTTAATGACTATTTTATATTATTTCTATGTACATTAGAAAAACATGTTTTATCTAAATCATGAGTGAGAACTCTCTTTTTATCTAAAAGGCAAACTTGCAAATTGTGTTGGTTACTTCTCCCACAGCATTGCTAATATTTAATTTTATCCTATCAACAATCAAGAGATGTACATAGAAAATTCTTATGTTATAGACTATTTTCTCTATGGTTATATTAATTTTCTTTTTTTTGGATTTTATATTTTATAAAAATCTACATTTATATGAGTCTGATATTTAATATTTTAATATTGTTAACTTTCATCTGGTGCACATACATCTGAAAGAGCTACATCTTTGTGACAAATTAAAACTTTCAATATTTAATACTATTTAATAACACAATTTATAATGTTAATATTTTTCTTTCAATAGATTTTATCCTTACTAATATAGCTACGCTATTGCACTACTGTTAGTTACTATCTTGTGTGTAATTTTTTTCTCTTAGTTTTACTTTCAATCTTTAGGAGTCCTTATACTTTATATATTTCTATTTTAAACAGCACATACTTGGATTTTATCTTTTATCCAGTGTTTTGCCAATTAAGTTTAGTTTGTGGTATGTTTGGTCATTTCTACTCTAATTTTCAGGTTGTTCCACTTTTTAAGTAGTTTTTAAAATTGTTCTCATATGTTATTAAAATTGAATGCTATCATCTTGTCTTCCATAATAAGGAAATAACTTTAGTCCACTTTTTTTATTACTTGGTCCCTCACTCTCCAAACCTTATATGATAATATCTTGCTTTTAAATTTGGGGTTGCACTCTGTCTCTCTTTCTCTCTCTCTCTCCCTCCCCTTTTATTCTAGTTGTTTCATAAGCAACAAAATTGTAGTATCATATATCACTATTTTACATAGAGCAGTCTTCCCTTATTCGTGGTTTAACTTTCCTTGTTTCAGTTACCCTTGGTCAACAGCCACCTAAAAATAGGTACAAAAAGATAATTTAGAAGACAGAGAAAGAAGTATCAAATTTACATAACTTTTAGTATAGTATATTCTTATTATTATTTTATTTTCTAATTTGTTATTGTTAATCTCTTATTCTGCTGAATTAATAAACTTTATTCTGCAGAATTTATAAATTAAACTTTATGTATATATAGGAAAAAATCTTAATAATATATAGGGTTCATTACTACCCATGGTTTCAGACATCCAGTGGGGGTCTCAGAATGTATCCCCTGTGGATAATGGGAAAGTATTCTATCTCATGTCACAGCTTGAATGTCACCTCTCTTCCACTTCAAACATGTGATCAAGGCCTGCTTCAAAATATGATTTTTTGAGAGTGAAATATTATGAGATTTAGTATGCCAAAAATACTTTGATAATTCTTCTATATTTGAATTACTGTAACCAGATTGTATTTTATATGTACTTGTTCTTTATTTGATGAAATACATTATCTGATTGATTTACATCCAATATTACAATTGAAAAATTAGATCCCAATATCATCTTTGTTTCTTTTTAAATGCATATGCTTTGTATATTTTTCTATAATGTATAGTTTTGTAGTTTCCTATTTTAAAGAAATTATATTGTTCACATGAACACTGGGAGGAGAACAACAAACACTGGGGCCTGTCATGGGAGGGGAGAGTGGAGGAGGAGCATCAGGATAAACAGCTAATGCATGTGGGGCTTAAAACTTAGGTGACAGGTTGATAGGTGCAGCAAACCACCATGGCACATGTATACCTATGTAACAAATCTGCACATTCTGCATATGTATCCTGGAAATTAAGGTAAAAAATTAAAAGTATAGTTCAAAGCTATAATGTAGAGTATCTACTTTTTTTTCTTTTTTATATGTGGCGTTCACACTGCAGAATTTGTCAATATACAATTGATCAATTTTTAATTGAGAAACTATCTTCATTTGTTCTTAAATATTTATTTCCATAATCAGTTATTTTTCTCTGACTCCTATTTCATAGCTGTTAGCACCCCTACTTTTATCTTCACTACGTGTCTTTGCTTTTATGTTTTCTCTTTCTCTTCCTTCAGAGTTTTGTGTAATATCGACTTCCAATTATGTACTTCCTCAAATGTATCTATTCACCTTTATATTTCATCTAATGTTTTTTTACTTCAACTATTATCTCTTCATACTTAATATTTCTGCTGAGTTTTCTTGTTGCGTATTTCTAATATTTTCTCTTTTTAGTACATACATTGGCCTCGTTTTTAATTATTGTTTTTTCTATTATAATGATTTTGCTTCTGGTAGAATTGCCATCAAAAATTTGGTTTTTCTTCTTAAATAATTTAATTTTTATAATATACTTTACCTGGGCTCCCCCAACTAGTTTTCTCTTGGGTTAAGGGCATGAGACAATAGATGGAAATGCAAGAAATGTGTGTGAGATCAAGACACTTAATAGTGAGTTTCAGCCAAATAATTAGAAGATAATCCGTAAATGGTAATTCCCCACTTCTTTGAAATTGGAAAGGAAGGAGCGGGAAATTATTTAAAGTGAACAATCTTCAGGTATTTTTCTTAAATCTTTACATAGTCACTGGGTTTCTGTGTGCCCAGATTTTATTATGAAGAAATTTTAACACAGTCCCAAATTATTACTGGTGGGGAGGCAAGCAATGTGAGGAGAAATCTGAGCATGCTTTATCTTCCAAAGATTCCTCTTATCTCAAGCCAACCCCACTTACCCAGATATTTAAGTTGAAAATATCCCTCACTACCTCCTGTGTGTGTGTATGGGTGGGGGGAGGTGTATTTTCTTTCCTTGGCATGTTGTTTCTTTGTTCTTCTGGGTTAATCTTGAAGAAGGTGGATAAGAATCATGCATGAATTCAGCATTTTGGTGAAACCAGAATACCGTCTGAGTTTTTATGCCAATTTTTTCCTTGCTAAATTTTTTCCTTCCTAATTTTTTCCTTGCTAAAGGAGTTTTTGCTGCAAAGTTATACAGCAAATTAGTTTTCTGATATCTTGTATGTCTTAAAAATATTTCAAACTCATTATTATAGTTTGGCTGAATATAGAATTCTAGGCTATAAACTATTTGTTTCATTATTTTAAGATAGTACTCCATTGTAATCCAGGTTCTATTATAATGTCAAAAATCTAATGTCAATATGATTCCCATTCCATGGTGTTTAATCTGTGTATTCTGTTTTTTTTTTTTTTTTTTTTTTTTTTTTTTTTTTTTTTTTTTTTTTTTTTTTTGAGACGGAGTCTGGCTCTGTTGCTCAGGCTGGAGTGCAGTGGCGCGATCTTGGCTCACTGCAAGCTCCGCCTCCCGGGTTAACGCCATTCTCCTGCCTCAGCCTCTACAGGCACCCGCCACCGTGCCGGCTAATTTTTCGTATTTTTAGTAGAGACGGGGTTTCACCGTGTTAGCCAGGATGGTCTCGATCTCCTGACCTCGTGATCTGCCCACCTTGGCCTCCCAAAGTGCTGGGATTACAGACGTGAACCACCACGCCCCGCCTTAATCTGTCTATTCTTGTTGGCACACTTTAGCATTCTTATTTTTTACTTTGTTCCTGATGTTCTGAAATTTTCTCAGATATTAGCTCTTTAAATATTGACTATCCAACTTCATCTTTGTCATTTTTCTGAAAAGAAGATTAAAATAATATTTGTCTTTTCATTTATTATACTCATTTTAAAATATTATTTCCTATTGTATGCTTATTTGCTATTATATGATAAATGTTCTCCACTAGGTTTCTTTGTATAATTTTTCAGTTCACAGCTCATCTCTATTTAGTATATGGTTTTTCCTTTTATTAATATTTATCTCAATGAATGTATTTTTTCCATTTGAGATATAATTACTTTTCTTCTTCTAATTTTTGCATTTGATAATTTTTAAAATTTTATTTTGTAATTGCTAGCCTCGTTCAATTCCTTGAATATGTCAAATTTACTTATGTAAAATAGCTTTCATATTACTCTATTAACTCTACTTATGAGTAAATTATTCTATGATTTTATTTTTGGTATTTCACTGTGCGGGTTTTTTTCACATACTTGTAATTCTCAATTGTTAGTTAATTTTTTAAGGGATACTTCGTGGTGGATTTCCAAGATTTCAGTCATTATTTTTTATGGTGAATAAATATTGCCCCAGAATTGGTTCCCACCCTCCCGTCTCCCATGGTGGGCCACTATTGCTGTCATGTATCTTTGGTAAAGAACCCCAAGCTCAGATATAGTCGAGTGTTATTTCTCATGTTTGTAGCCCCAATAAAGGGGTTTTGGTTGTGAACTTGTGTTGAATAATGTCACCATTCATTTGCAGGCAGATATTTCAGAATGTTTATTTCTGTTATCATTATTGCTTTGGACCATTGCTCTTCTGAGTGTTAAGACCACAGATTTTTACTCACACTTATAATCCTAATTCAGTTCAACATCATTTCTCAGACATGCAATTTTACTCATTCTAAGTTTTCTTTTATTCTTCTTGCATTTCTCTCATATAGAGTTTTCCTCTCCTTGTTTTCAAATGTAATCTTTATTGGGCGCTATTGATATTCTCAGCATGTTAGAACGAAAGCCCAGAGTCAAGTAACTAATATACAGAAACTTACAGGAAGGAAGGAGCAATTTTCAAGGACACTTTATGTCGTGTAATTTCCTCTGTATACAAGACCTAAGAATTTGAATGGATAACAAATGAACAGTTATGTTAGAAAATGTACTTGATCGTACACTTCTCAGAGTGAAGAGCCAAACATCTTGTGCATGCAAATTTTATACTCTGGTAAGGCTTTTTAACAATTTCATTATAAACTTTTTTCTCAGAGAAAATGAAAGTGAAGGTATAGCTAAGTATTTGAGTCCTCTATTGGGAAGATTACCAATAATATAAATACTTAATATTTAAAATTATTTTCTTTAAAGTATTCTTATTGGTCAAAGGGGCTTTTGGGTATTATCACATACCTTATATTTGAAAAATCACTGTTTCACTAAAATAAATTTATAAAGAGTTTCCACCGTGAAAAAGGTTTTTTGGTGCATTATATTTTACACATTTTCTACACACTATTTTCGTTTTGGTATTAAAGTCATGCAAGATTTAAGACAAGTATATTTTTATAGTATTGTGTCATAAAAAAAGAAGAAAGTATGAAATTGAATTAAGCATTTTCTGTCTTTCAATCTGGTATAAATGTTAAGGTTTCTTAATAAATAATTGTGATTAAAGATAAAAAGTGATATTTTGTAATTGAGTGCAAAAAATATTCTAAGGTAATAGGTTACTCACTAATTATTTTAAGTGGGAAGGCTTTATACCAAAATATGCCATTTTTGAAGCAAGCATTAATGAATATGACATAAAAACTTGGCAGAAATTATTTGAAGTAATGATGCGAACAAAGACTGAAGACTAGTCTTTGTCCCATTTTCACAACAACCATTGTTGAATTTTATTGCACCTCTAGTGATCAAAGGAAACTAACTGTAAAGTAACTTTAGATTGTAAAGAACCTTAACTCTTAGGATAAGAATGTTTTATATATTTTGGAGGGCCTTCAGGCATCAATATTTGATAAAAAATGTAACTTAGTCTAACTTGTGTCTGTGAGATAATAATTAGATACTAGTTTACAAAATTAATTAGAAGAAAAGGAAGGAGATCAAAAGCAAAGATACTATATGTGAGATATTAAAATACTACGGGCACATATAATTGGAATTGTAACCAAAAAGCAAAGGTAGAAATAGAAATGGGCCAAATACTTCATCATCTGCAATTTCTTATTTAAACAAAAAAGAAAACAAATCAGAGGTGAGTATTATTGTCCCGCTTTCCCAACCAAGGATCCTGAGGCCCTAACAGGTATAGTTAACATAGGCAGCCAAGTGCCAGAATCATAAAATAAGCTTTGCTCTGAATTGCTATAAAAGACATGCTCTTTTGCTATATTAATCTAAGAAAGGCTAGCTTCGGTAGTTGATATGGTTTGGCTGTGTTCCCACCCAAATCTTATCTTGAATTGTAAAAATCTCCATGTGTTATCAGAGGAACTCGGTGGGAGGTAATTGAATCATGGGGACAGGTCTTTTCAGTGCTGTTCTCGTGATAGTGAATAAGTCTCACGAGATCTGTTGGTTTGATAAAGGGCAGTTCCCTTGCACAAGCTCTCTTGCCTGACACCATGTAAGACATCCCTTTGTTCTTTCATCTTCTGCCATGATTATGAGGCCTCCCCAGCCATGTGGAACTGTGAGTCCGTTAAACCTCTTTCCTACATAAATTGCCCAGTCTTGGGTATTTTTTATTAGCAGCATGAGAACAGACTATTGGTGTCAGTAGAGTGGGGTGCTACTATAAAAATACCCGAAAATGTGGAAGCAACTTTAGAACTGGGTAACAGGCAGAGGTTAGAACAGGTTGGAGGGCTCAGAAGAAGATAGGAAAATCTGGGAAAGCTTGGAACTTCCTAGAGACTTGTTGAATGGCTTTGACCAAAATGCTGATAGTGATATGGACAATAAAGTCCAGGCTATGGTAGTCTCAGATGGCAAAGAAGAGCTTGTTTAAAGGTCACTCTTGCTATGCAAAGAGACTAGTGGCATTTTGGCCCTGCCCTAGAGATCTGTGGAACTTTGAACTTGAGAGAGATGATTTGAGGTATCTGGTGGAAGGAATTTCTGAGCAGCAAAGAGTCTAAGAGGTGACAGAGCATAAAAGTTTGGAACATTCGAAGCCAGATGATGCGATAGGAAAGAAAAACCCATTTTCTGGGGAGAAATTCAAGCCTGCTGCAAAAATTTGCGTAAGTAACAAGGAGCCAAATGTTAATTGCCAAGACAATTGGGAAAATGTCTCAAGGGCATGTCAAAGAACTTCATGGCAGCCCATCCATTGCTGGCCCAGAAGCCTAGGAGAAAAATTGGTTTTGTGAGCTGGGCCCAGGGCCCCGCTGCTGTCTTGGCAGCTTCTACATGGTGTTGAGTCTGTTGATGCACAGAAGTCAAGAATTGAAGTTTGGAAACCTCCGCGTAGATTTCAGAAGATGTAGAGAAATGCCTGGATGTCCAGGCAAATATTGACTACAGGGGCAGGACCCTCATGGAGAACCTCTAGTAGGGCAATGGGGAAGCAAAAAGTGGGGTTGGAGACCCCACACGGGGTTCCCACTGGGTCACTGCCTAGTGGAGCTGTGAGTAGAGGGCAATCATCCTCCAGACCCCAAAATGAGAGATCCACCGACAGCTTATACTGTGCTTCTGGAAAAACCACAAACACTCAATGCCAACCTATGAAAGCAGCCAGGAGGGGGCTGTATGCTACAAAGCCACAGGGGAGGAGCTGCCTAAGGCTGTGGGAGCCCACTTCTTGCATCAGCGTGATGTGGATGTTAGACACGGAGTTCAAAGAGATTATTTTGGAACTTTAATAACTGCCCTATTAGATTTCAGATTTGCATGGGGCATGTAGCCCTTTTGTTTTGGACAAATTCTCCCATTTTGAATGAGTGTGTTTTCCCAATGCCTGTACCTCCATTGTATCTAAGAAGTAACTAACTTGCTTTTGATTTTACAGCTCGTAGGCAGAAGGGACTTGCCTTGTCTCAGATGAGACTTTAGACTGTGGTCTTTTGAGTTAATGCTTAATGAGTTAAGACTTTGGGAGACTGTTGGGAAGGCATGATTGGTTTTGAAATGTGAGGACAACACATTTGGGAGGGGATGGGGGCAGAATGGTATGACTGTGTCCCTATCCAAATCTTATCTTGAATTATATCTCCCATAATTCCCATGTGTTTGGGAGGGACCCAGCAGGAGGAAATTGAATCATGGGGGTGGGTGCTGCTTTTGTGATAGTGAATAAGTCTCACAAAATCTGATGGTTTTATAAAGGGGAGTTCCCCAGAACATGTTCTCTTTCCTGCCACCATTTAAGAGGTCACTTAGCTCTTCCTTCATCTTCCAACATGATTGTGAGGCCTACTCAGCTCTTGGAACTCTGAGCCCATTAAACCTATTTCCTTTATAAATTATCCAGTCTTTGGTATGTTTTTATTAGCAGTTTGAGAATGGGCTGATACAATAATATACAGATTTTTGAATTACGTGTATATTACCTTCAAATACATTTAAATTTTCTCTATTTTCAATGTTATTAAAATTGTAGCATTATGGAAATACATTAGACCAGAATATTGGAGACATTTATTAAAATATTTTCAAAAGCTTGCATTCGTATTAAAGAAATTATTAAGATTTATAAGAGTTTTATATACCAAAAAAGTTAGTTTCAAAATTAATTTTTACAAAAAATGGTTTGCTGTTAATAACTTCATATTGAATATTTCTTTTTGTAGTTCTCTATTTTGTTGTATGTGACTATTAAGATTTAAAGGCAGGAATCTTCAATAATCATTTTGTAAACAGTTAAGCTTCTCTAAATCAACATTTAATAACTGCATTATTAGTGGGAATTATGGAGAAAATCATTTTGTAAAAGAATAATTGTATTCAAAGGGAATGCTTCCAGTTTTTGCCTATTCAGTATGATATTGGCTGTGGGTTTGTCATAGTTAGCTCTTATTATTTTGAGATACATCCCATCAATACCTAATTTATTGAGAGTTTTTAGCATGAAGGGTTGTTGAATTTTGTCAAAGGCCTTTTCTGCATCTATTGAGATAATCATGTGGTTCTTGTCTTTGGTTCTGTTTATATGCTGGATTACAAGATGCCCTCTCTCACCACTCCGATTTAACAGAGTGTTGGAAGTTCTGGCCAGAGCAATCAATCAGGCAGGAGAAGGAAATAAAGGGTATTCAATTAGGAAAAGAGGAAGTCAAATTGTCCCTGTTTGCAGATGACATGATTTTATATCTAGAAAACCCCAGTGTCTCAGCCCAAAATCTCCTTATGTTGATAAGCAACTTCAGCAAAGTCTCAGGATACAAAATAAATGTACAAAAATCACAAGCATTCTTATACACCAATAACAGACAAACAGAGAGCCAAATCATGAGTGAACTCCCATTCACAATTGCTTCAAAGAGAATAAAATACCTAGGAATCCAACTTACAAGGGACGTGAAGGACCTCTTCAAGGAGAACTACAAAACACTGCTCAAGGAAATAAAAGAGGATACAAAGAAATGGAAGAACATTCCATGCTCATGGGTAGGAAGAATCAATATCGTGAAAATGGCCATACTGCCCAAGGTAATTTATAGATTCAATGCCATCCCCATCAAGTTACCAATGACTTTCTTCACAGAATTGGAAAAAACTACTTTAAAGTTCATAAGGAACCAAAAAAGAGCCCACATCGCCAAGTCAATCCTAAGCCAAAAGAACAAAGTTGGAGGCATCACACTACCTGACTTCAAACTATACTACAAGCCTACAGTAACCAAAACAGCATGGTACTGGTACCAAAACAGAGATATAGATCAATGGAACAGAACAGAGCCTCAGAAATAATGCCGCATATCTAAAACTATCTGATCTTTGACAAACCTGAGAAAAACAAGCAACGGGGAAAGGATCCCCTATTTAATAAATGGTGCTGGGAAAACTGGCTAGCCATATGTAGAAAGCTGAAACTGGATCCCTTCCTTACACCTTATACAAAAATTAATTCAAGATGGATTAAAGACTTAAACATTAGACCTAAAACCATAAAAACCCTAGAAGAAAACCTAGGCATTACCATTCAGGATATAGGCATGGGCAAGGACTTCATGTCTATAACACCAAAAGCAATGGCAACAAAAGCCAAAATTGTCAAATAGGATCTAATTAAACTAAAGAGCTTCTGCACAGCAAAAGAAACTACCATGAGAGTGAACAGGCAACCTACAAAATGGGAGAAAATTTTCGCAACCTACTCATCTGACAAAGGGCTAATATCCAGAATCTACAATGAACTCAAACAAATTTACAAGAAAAAAACAAAAACCCCATCAAAAAGTGGGCAAAGGACATGAACAGACACTTCTCAAAAGAAGACATTTATGCAGCCAAAAAACACATGAAAAAATGCTCACCATCACTGGCCATCAGAGAAATGCAAATGAAAACCACAATGAGATAGCATCTCACACCAGTTAGAATGGCAATCATTAAAAAGTCAGGAAACAACAGGTGCTGGAGAGGATGTGGAGAAATAGGAACACTTTTACACTGTTGGTGGGACTGTCAACTAGTTCAACCATTGTGGAAGTCATTTTGGAGATTCCTCAGGGATCTAGAACTAGAAATACCATTTGACCCAGCCATCCCATTACTGGGTATATACCCAAAGGGCTATAAATCATGCTGCTATAAAGACACATGCACACGTATGTTTATTGAGGCACTATTCACAATAGCGAAGACTTGGAACCAACCCAAATGTCCAACAATGATAGACTGGTTTAAGAAAACGTGCCACATATACACCACGGAATACTATGCAGCCATAAAAAAGTATGAGTTCATGTCCTTTATAGGGACATGGATGAAATTGGAAATCATCATTCTCAGTAAACTATAGCAAGGACAAAAAACCAAACACCGCATGTTCTCACTCATAGGTGGGAATTGAACAATGAGAATGCATGGACACAGGAAGGGGAATACTACACTCTGGGGACTGTTGCGGGGTGGGGGGAGGGGGAGGGATAGGTTTAGGAGATATAGCTAATGCTAAATGACGAGTTAATGGGTGCAGCACACCAGCATGGCACATGTATACATATGTAACTAACCTGCACATTGTGCACATGTACCCTAAAACTTAAAGTGTAATAATAATAAAAAAAAGAATAATTGTAAACTCATGTCATAATGGGAACTGGCAAATGGCCTTAAAAGTAATTTGCCCTAAGTGTTTCATATGATAATATCGCAAAAACGAGGGAGATTAAGAAACTAAGACTTTCTTAAAGTCATAAATATCATATGTCGATTCTCAGGTTCTGAGGTGTATTGCTGTATTTTTATTTATCTATAATTCTTTGTGTTCCTGTGTCATATAAAAAATGTAGACTATGTAATGTACAGTGAAGAATCCAAAGGACCTAAAACATTATTTTAGAAGTTTGAATTTTTGAATAGTAGATTATCATACAGTAGGGAAGCTTAATGGAACAAGTCTTCACTATTTTCTGCAAATGCCTTTTATATGTTTAACATATGAGATATGTTTACTTGGTTATATACCAAGTAAATATTAAAAGACTACATTTGCGAAATTAAATGCAATTCTTTAAAGATAGATGCTTTATTTAAGAAAGTTTTTGTTGGTCAGTTTTTTTACTTATGTGTTGACAGTGGTAACTCTAACACAAACTTAAGCCAATGTTTTAAATATTTTAAAATTATTGGAAAAAGCATTGACACATCCACTGATGAAATGTGTTAAAAATCAAATTTTATTTTTTACTTAAATAATTTTAAAATCCTGAATTTAAACTTTTTAAAATGTATTTTCAAAAATTTATCCCAATCTTGCATATAATTGCGGTATATCTCTCACAGGATCCAGTGAATAATTTATTTCACAATATTCCTCTGATTTTGGCCACAGTGATAAATGTCTGAAATAATCATTGCTTTGTTTAAGTTTACATTACCTTGGTTAGTTAGTAGGGTGGTAAAATAAAAATTTTAATAAAATCTGTTTTTGAAAAACTCAACTAATCACAGTAATAAATATATTTATAAATAAAATAAAAATAAACTATCATACCTATGAAATACTTTATTATTTTAAAGAATCTTTTGTAGATCCATTATCTTTCATATTCAATGTATCTTATGTTTATAATACTTGATTTTCAAAACTGTCTTCTCATATATTATATTTCTTGGTTTATTTACAAGTACAAAATTGTTTTAAACATTTTTGTAAACAAGGTAATTTACTGATTCTTCAGAGATCCATGCTATTAAAAAATAACAAAGATAGCTTTCATTTTGAATGTATCATTTAGTGTATCACTTAACAAAATCAAATATTTATTACTCATTTACTTTCTAATGAATTTGATAAGTTTTGTTCTTTTTAAAAATCATTTGAGTACTAGAGCTTTAGACAGAAAATATGAAAGAAAGAAAACTGCTTACAAAAACATTCCACATACATAAGACATCAAATGCATATCAAGCAAATTTATTTAATAAATATTTCTCTTAACTTTCTTAAAATTGAATCTAAACCTTACATTAACATACTTGAATTGGTTTTCTGAAGAAAAATCCTTTTTATAGTAACCAATTGTAATTCTAACTGTGGTCACGATCAATTCGAATTAACTGTTTACTTGTGACACATTATCTAGATGTCTCCTATCATTACAAATATTACAGTAGGTAGCTAGTCAGACATGAGCAGGGCAGGAGAGGGCCCTCCTAGCCAGGAATGTGGGGAGACCATCAAGAGATTGTCACGCGGTTGTTACCTGTCTCTCTAAAATAATTGGTCGCAGCAGACACCAGGGAAAGACTGTCTCCCAGTAGATAGGAAAAATCTAAAGCTTGCGATCAGTAGCTTCCAGATAAGATTCTCAAGACTGGGCAAGTGTGCTCATGCATGTGAACTAAGAGGCAAAATGGCAGTTTTACTGGTATCTGACCTTATAGGAACACTTGACTGTAAGGGAAAAATGCCCCAAGTGAGCATGTGTATACAAATCCAGTAAACACAGGGCACATCCCGCTCCTCCCAAGTGCTGACAAACCACTGCCCATATGGACAGCTCACCTCAAGGGAAGAATCAGGGGAGAAAAAACACAACTTCCCAGAAACATGCCAACATATAAAACCCCCATGTCAAAGGTCAAACAATGCACTTGATCTCTCAAGTTGCCAACTTGGACCTCTACCAAATGTCCTTTACTTCTTTTTGTTCCTGCTCTAAAGCTTTCTCATAATATTACACTCCTGCTCTAAAACTTGCCTCAGTCTCTCACTCTGCCTTATGTCCCTTGGTTGAATTCTTTCTTCCGAGGAGGCAAGAATTGAGGTTGCAGTAGATCTGTATGGATTTGCCACCAGTAACATACTTGGGTGATGTGTGACTTGGATACATTCCCTATTGCTAAAGTACTTTGGTACCACGTGAGTTGGATATGTTCTGCTGCTGACTTGGGTATATTACCTAGTGGTAAGTCATGTCTACATCTTGCCTTCTTCAGCTGGAGATATTCAACTCCCATATGTGGTTTCCTTCTCCTTTCACTCTCCTGCTTATTAACCAACCCCCAGAAGGATTACTCTTGGATTCAGTGGCTCTGCTTCCTTAGGCTGATCTCTCAGTTCACCCTGATGGCTGGCTCCCAGGGGTAAGAAGGACCTTGAGGTCTTTGCTGAGTAGAACTGAGATACTAATGGCTCTCCCTGACAGGAGATTTGCAAGAGTGGTAGGGATAAAGTCTGAGACTGTGACAGCTAGGTGACATGGCTCACACTTGTAATCTCAGCGCTTTGGGAGGCCAAGGTGAGTGGGTCACTTGAGGCCAGGAGTTTAAGACCAGCCTGGCCAACATCGTGAAACCCCATCTCTACTAATAATACAAAAAAAAAAATTAGCTGGGCATGGTGGCACATGACTGTAATCCCAGCTACTTGGGAGGCTGAGGTGGGAGAATAGCTTGAACCTGGGAAGCAGAGGCTGCAGTGACCCAAGATCTTGCCACTGCACTTCAGCCTGGGCTACAGAGCAAAAATCCAATTCAAAAATAAAAATAAAAAATAAAAAGAGTCTGAGATTGTTCAATGTCTGGGGTTTCCTCTACTTTTTCAAATAAATTGGCTCTTTCCTAAAAACCTTCACTGCCTATTCTTCTGTTTTATCTGTGTGTATTCTGAAATTACCTCATGTACCTGCCAGACTTTTGCCTTGGGGGCAAGTTTGCCTCTTCTCTGGTTTTGCTTTGCATGATGCATGACTTTGTTCTCTGGCTGAAATATACTTACTCCCTGTTATTTATGCACCTGCAGCCCTTAGTGTGCTCAGAGGCAAAGACATGGGCTCCCTTGTGGATATCCCCTGAGGTTTATACCTCTTCTACCCTACCAGCTCAGATGACTTTCCAACCCTTCCCCTGTCTGCTAGCACATTGCCCAGATAGACACTAATCAGAACCTTGACTCTACCAGATCCTTATGACTTACTATTTAAAGGAGCAAGTTTTTCATTAGTGATATGCCCCAGGGCTGTGTTTTGTGGCGGCTTTTGAAAGAGTTTGTCTGGCTGCAATAGTGCCTCACTCAGTGGTCCTTTAAGGACCCCAGCTTCTTGTTTTTTTTTTATTTGTTTGTTTTGTTTGTTTTAGAGTTAACACCCCTTTGAGAGGAGGGGAAATTCTTATTTTGTCATTTGTGTGTTCCTACCTGAAGCCCTACATCCTCCTGAGGTTACTACTTTATGTCAAGAGGGCACATAAACATTGCCTTCTCCAATATAAGGGCTGCTGCTTTTGTGAGCACATGAAGGCTTTCAATGAGTGTTCCTCTGGCTTCCTCCCACTTCATTCTGTAGCCTCCATCTCTCTAATCACTTCCACACCCTTCTCAGTATGCATTAAGACTTAAAGTTTATATTCAAAAGGAAGGTAGTCCAGCCCCCTGTAGCAGTTAGCTGAAAAACAGGCTTCTCATCTACTTAAATAACATAGTAAATGAGAATCTGAGAAAAGAGATAAACGTTTTGTTGCTAGAATGCTCCAAGCAAGAGTCACTGTAAGGTCATAGAGACAAGGATATAGGCCAGCCCAAGGCCACAGGTAAAAAAGACCCATAAGACAGAGATGAAGGTTGGTTCTGGGATAAGAGAGGAGACCATCATTTTTCATTTTTTTCTCTTCTGTTTTCTCTTCTCAGATGGTGATTGCATATACCACAGGACATGCCCCTCAGAGGCATCACCCCAAACTAGGAAAGTTTGATTCCCCCAAACCTTAATACACAAAAACTAGTTTTACTTTGTAATACTGTTTGACCTAAAAAGTGAATCAGAAGGAAATTACAACAGTCAGCTTTGGAATCCGGTGCCCCTGTGAAGGAGGCCCTCAGATTAGCCTCCTCAGTCTTTTGTAACTGAAAGTTGAATAAGGACGGAAGGGCTAAGAAAAAGGTAAAAACAGTGAGAGGCAGGCTTAACTATTGGCTGCTATGTAAGCTCACCAGCCCCCTTCAGGTTGCCCTAAGGACACTCTCCAAGTATCTGCCATTTGTGCTGGAAGCAGGCCACTGGAAGGCAAACTGTACCAATGGGATTAATAGGAAAAAACCCCACAGTGCTTGCTCCCTCTGCCACAAGTTTGTCATTGGAATGGGTCACAGAATACCAACACTTGATAGCCTCAAGCTGAAGGGACTTTTGGCTCCAGCCTGTTCCCAGATTAGACATCTTCATCAACAGGACAAAGCCAAGATCAACTCTGGAAGCAGCAAGTAAAATTATAAGTTTACCTTTTGGGTTCAAGAGCTGCATACTTTGTGTTCATATCCTTTTCTAAGCAGTTCCTCCCAATCTTTTTGGGTAATGGGAACAAATGGCACTCACTCCCTCCAAAAGAAAATATTCACACCCCTTGGGGCAAAAATATACTTTTCAAGAAGGGTGACTGCTTAATATTTACCTGACCTCTAAATTGTCTTTCTCTTTAATATCCCTATTTCTCCTGTGTCAATGAAAAATCAAACTCTAAAATATTGGAATGACCATGGCTTGTGACACAGCCCTCAGGAGGTTCTGAAAACATGTGCCCAATGTGGTCAGGGTGCAGCTTGGTTTTATACATTTTAGGGAGACATGAGACTTCAATCAAATACATGTAAGAAATACATTGGTTTGGTCCGGAAACCTGGGACAACTCTGAGCAAGGGGGGCTTCAGCTTATAGGTAGATTTAAAAATTGCATGGTTGACAATTTGTTGAGTTTATCTAAAGACCTGGTGATAGCAGCAAGAGACAGACAAATGCCTATGCACATAGGGGTGACTCCCTGATGAATCCCCACCTCCAATCTGAAGACAGTTTAAAGCCTGAAAGCCAAGCTATAAGTCAAATCTACAGACTGGACTGAGAACCTGACTTCCCATTTGGCATGCTTTCTTCTGATTGATCCCCACTTTTTACCTATTTTACATTTACCTACCCTTTCCTAATTGGTTTTCTATGCTGTTGTGCCCACCTTTGAGTGGTGTCTTCACTTAACCTTTTTTGCCTACTCACAAACCAATCATCATACACTCCCCATTCCAAGTCCATAAAAAAACCCCATATCTAGCCACACTGAGAAAGAAACCCACCCAACTGGTGGGAAGGGGGGCCACCCATTACATCCCCTCTTTGCTTACAGCTCTTCATCATTCAATAAAATTCTTCTCCACCCATCCTCACTCTTCTAATTGTCAGTGCAATCTCATTCTTCTTGGATGCAGGACAAGAGCTTGGAAACTGGCAAACACAGGTACAATCTATAACACAGGCAGGCCTAGTGGGTGAGTCACCTCCAGCAGCAGGCTTGGGGCCCAGCAAGGCTGCGGCAGGGGTGTGTCACTGGCCGTGGAGGTCCTAAGTTGGCACAGGGAATGAGAAATATCTCACATCACTGGGATCAGTAGAAAGGAATGTCTGGGTTAAGATAAGAGGTTGTGGAGACTGAAGTTTATATTTGCAGAGGAAGACTTCATGAAGATAGTAGGCATCAGAGAGAATAGGTTGTAAAATGTTTCTTATCAGACTTAAAGTCTGTGTTGATGTTAATGCTGGAGAGGTATAATGAGGCATGTTCAATTGCCACTTCCTGTCATGGCCTGAAACAGTCTTTCAGGTTAAATTATAAAACAGCCCTGGCTGAGGAGAAAGTCCATTCAGATTGTTCGGGGTGGGGGGGGGGGTCTTAGAATATTATTTTTGATTTACACCTGGGAAAGGTGCCTAAATCTTTAACCAATGACTTTTACCTGGACAGTTCTACTTCAGGAGTTTAGAAATAGCCTACTCTTATCTAGACAAGCCTTAGCAAAAATCTAATTAAGCAATTTCTTGAGGGGTGATAACTTCTACAATACATATCTGCTCCCCCTTCACAAAACTCACACAGCAACATGCAATACAAACCATAACTTCCTAACAGAAGGAAAATGACTTTTGTCTAGTTCAAGGGTAATAAAGGTAAAGAGGTATTTTTGTAAAAAAAAAATAAAGAAAAAAAGATTTTATGTGAGAAAGGATCATGTATGGCAAATTATTTTCCTAAAGTAAAATGACTGATTGTTTAAAAAGAGAGCTGTTTAGGGGAAGTCAGAAAGTCCAAGCATGTGGCAGATGGTATGTGTAAGTTGTAAAAAGATTTATGAAAGATAATTTATAAAAATGTAGTTTTAAAGGGTATTAGGTCTAGCAAATGTTTTAAAGTCATAAACTCCTACTATGGCTCTGAACTGTAAAACTTGTGTGCTTTAAAGCTTGGTAAGACCTGGGGACATACAAAGTTAATCATGCCCCCTAGCTATGCTAGAAAGAGTCAAACCTTATCTGCACTTCTGTCTGGTGTCCGAGGCTCCAAAGCTAGTATATAATTAGAAGAAGTCACTTATCAAGTTTTTCAAAAAAAGTAAAAGTCTAAGAGTTAACAGTGTAACATGTACTTGAGACTACTGGAAAAATAGTTTTACATGCAAGCCATGTAAGTAAATTAAAATGTGCTTTTGGTAAAAGATTATAATAAAGTTTTGGAATGTGAATGTTTTTTGCCTAGTTTAGAAGTCTAAAGGATTGTGTTAGGTTAGATAGGATAAACCTGAAGGTTTAAGCAAGTTATGGAAGGTTTCTGAAAATTAACCATGTAAAAGAGATTCTGTGTGTATATCGGCTAATGTTAAAGGGGTATTATTCAGTTTTTCCATAATTCACACATTAGAATAAAAGCACAACAGAGTTTTATTAAAACATTAATCTGCTCTTTATAAATGTGTTAATGGTACATGTTCCAAAATTATGCAAAACTCCTATGATTCTAATATAACTTAGTATACGTTATCAGTAATAATTATAATTGTTATGTTAAATTATTGTGTGCCAAAGAGGTTACAAATTTCCTTGTCCATTGTGTCTTTGACTGTTGCTTCCTTAAGACTTCTTGTCATCCCCAGACAATTGTTGTCTTGTTTTAATCATCTTTAATAGATGGTTTTATAATCAATGATAGGACACTAACTGCTGCTCTGAATTGCCCATTTCTGATAACTTCAGAAATTGTGACATTAGAATGGAGAAAAACTTTCAAGGTTCTCATGGAGAGCTGAAATGTTTATGAATATCAAGCAGAACAGGAATTAACTGTGTGGACTGAACTAATAGAACACTGAAATAATCCTTCTATTCACAGCTTTTAACAGATGAGTAAAGTACACTCCTATGAAAAAAATTTGGAGCATATTTCTCTTTACCAGATTTCTCCCAAATTTGGAAACTATTTGTGAGTATTATTGACTTATGGCAATATACTTATTTGCATAAGTGCAATAAGAATTCATCTTATTTTGTAACAGGACATAATTAGAGACACTGGTTATTTTACCAAGGCTTTTATGGGAATGAGTTGTTTTCCTTTAAAGAATCAAATGTGACTTATAGAGTCAACAAGAGCTTCTTGTAAAACTAGTCTCATACCTTGCTTACACAGTACCCATACAGGGTGTCTGATCTGTGTAAGTAAACATGTTTTTTTTAATTTAAAAAAGGATATACATTGATTTTACTTAAGAATCAAGTTCTTAGTGAAATCTAAATTTATGCATAACTACTTTAAATGTGGTTTATTATATTAATAAATTAATGCTTTTGATTTTTCTGTTAGTAATTATGGTAATCATTGTAAAGATACCAAGAGAAAAATGATGTAGGTTTTCCTTTTCAATCAGTCAATAATCAGATGTATATATTTGAGCAACACAAATATCTTCTATTTTATAAAATCAAAAATCTGTTTCTGAAGTTTGCTATGTAATAATAAAATGAGATAATAAGGAGGTGGCTTTTTAAAATTGTGATATTTTGAAATACATGTTTGGTCTTCCCTGTTTACTGATATATATCTTCTTAAACTCTTGGAATGTTTGGAGTTATCAGAGTGTCTTTTGTATGCTAATGACATGCCTGGTGGCTGAGGACCCTAAAGAGCTTCAGGATGGGGGCTGGTCACCAGAAAGAACAAGGCATGACTAGGGGTTTGAGACATTGAGACTCAACCCTCAACATCCACAAGGGAGTAAGCTGAAGGTTAAGTTGATGACCAATTGCCAATAATATATCAGCCATTCCCAGTTGATTAAGTTTCCTCCAAATCACAAAAGGATGAGGTTCAGAGAGCATCCAGATGGCTTAACATATGGACATGCTTTGAGGGTGGTGTACTGAAGAAGGCACAGAAGCTACAGGCCTCTTCCTACATAACCTCACCCTGTGTATCTCTTCCATCTGGCCATTTATCCATATCCTTTGTAATATCCTTTCAAGTAAACTGGTAAACCTAAGTAAATCCCTAAGCTCTGTGAACCATTCTATCAAATTAATCAAACCCAAGCCAAGCATTGTGAAAAATGTGGTTTACAGCTGATTGGTCAGAAGCACAGGCTACAACCTGCTGCTTGTGACTGGTATCTGAAGTGGGAGCAGTCTTGTGGGATTGAGCCATTAACCTGTGGAATCTGATGATATCTCCAGGTAAATAGTTACAGAATTGAATTGAACTTGAGAATGTCCAGCTAGTTAGCACCCACACATCTGGTGTCACAAATGTTCAGTGAATCAGAGAAAATAGAGAAGGAAAAAAACAGTTTGCTCTTAGCTTCAGAGAAATTCAAAATCATTTTGGGATAAAGTATGATGCATTTGCAGGAGTCAGGTTCTAGATTCTAAGAATTAGTGAGAGAATAAACTAGAAAATCAAACAGATATCAGAATCCTATAGTCACTTCTAAGAAACTTGAAGTCTCTTCTGTGAGTGATAAAGTCGATTAAAGGCTTTTAAGCAGGGGAAGAAGTTGGTCAGATTTGTATTCATGAAAGATCATTCTGGCAGCAGTGTAGAGAATGGATAGGTTGTGAGCATGACTGGAGGCTATAAAGTTCGTTAAGAATCATTTGCAAAGAGAGCATTGACATAACACTGGGAATACAGAGCCCTGTTTCTAGCTCAGCCACTAACTGTTGGTACTGTCACCTTTGGCAAGTCACTTGACCTTTCGGAGGTCCCACAGCTGCATGTGTAAAATGAGGGGGTTGGACTACTTGGTCTCTAAGGTTCTTCCTGCTCTGATGGTATAATGTTATAATAGCTTTTCTATTGCATACCGTGCATTACAAGAAAGAAATTTCTTACTCAATGGAGCATTTGAGTTTTTTTCAAGATGATTGCTATTATTAGTATCTGCACTGAAGAACAGTACAATTTGTCTATACATAAACTCAAAAAAGCACAAATATAATAGTATCTAAAGTTAATATAAACTATATATACATATGAAATATTTGGCCTCTACATTAAAATTTGAGAAACAAAGATCTAAGTTAATAGATAAAATGCAGATAGTCAGTTAGTATTTCTTAGTTTTTAAGACAGGTAGAGAGTAATTGCTTATTGTCTAATCATTGTAATTATTAAAATATTATGTATTCATATAGCATACTAATAGTTACAATGATCCTATTCATTAAAATAACAGGGAACATGTTATAAGCATAGTTGACAACAAAAATTCAATCATATCTCTGAATTTGAGTAAATTTCACTCTGTGAGCAGTTCACATTTTGAATTATATAGACATTCATTGTAACATATTTCTCCTAAGTATACATTTCACTGTTGGAAGATATTGATATACATCATTTAATTTCAAGGTGTTAGGACATTGGACAGTGTAAAATAGCTTTAGTAACAGTTGTTAATATCCTCATTGAGAAAATCACAGGAACTGATATTGTATATAACTTGCTCATTTATAAAGATTTGTCTGTAAATATTTGTTCAGTATAAATGACACCAGGTATAATAACTGTTTTGGAAAATGTCTACAATTATCTTAAATCACATTCTACTAATATTACTGTTTTATGAATTTACATGGTGCTAATAAACGTCTTCTTTTAAAACTACAAAGTTAAAAATGACAGTGTTTTGTCTTTTTTTAGAAAACATCATTTTGCCCATGGGCTTTTTTTTCTTCCAACTTTTACTTTTGGTTTTGGAGTACATGTACAGGCTTGTTACATGGGTAAATCACAGGTTACTGGCATTTGGTGTACATATTATTTTGTTACCCCAAAATTGAGCATAGTAGCCAATAGATAGTTTTTCACTGCTAACCCCCTTCTACATCCCACCCTCAAGTAAGTCCTTATGTCCACTATCCCTCTGTGTCCACGTGTACTCAAAATTTAGCTCCCACTTATAAGTGAGAACACATGGTATTTAGTTTTCTATTCCTGTGTCCATTTGCTTAGGATTATCACCCCCAGCTGCATTGATACTGCTGCAAAGGACATGATTTCTTTTTTTAATGGCTACATATTATTCAATTGTGGGTATGTACCACATTTCTTTATTTAGTCCACTGTTGATAGGCATCTATTTGTCATATTTTTGTAATTGCTTTTGGAGTCTTAATCATGAAATATTTTCCAGGATTTATGTCCAGGGTATTACCTGGGTTTTCTTCTAGGATTTTTATAGTTTTACATTTTTTATATTTAATCCATGGTGGATTGATTTTTATATGTCGTGAAAGAAAAGGGTCTAGTTTCAATCTTCTGCATATGGCTAGCCAGTTATCCCAGTACCATTTATTGAAAAGGGATTCCATTCCTCATTGCTTGTTATTGCTAACTTTGTTGAAGACCATATGGTTGCAGGTGTGCAGCTTTATTTCTGGCTTCTCTAACATGTTCTATTGGTTTATATGTCTGTTTTTGTACTAGTACCATGTTGTTTTGGTTACTGTAACCTTGTAGTATTGTTTGAATTTGGGTAGTGTGATGACTTAGGCTTTATTATTTTTGCTTAAAATTGCTTTGGCTATTTGAATATTTTTAGTTTCATATGAATTTTAAAGTAGATATTTTTCTAATTCTGTAAATAAATCATTGATACTTTGGAATAACATTGAATTTATAATTTGCTTTTAGGCAATGTGGCAATTTTAACAATATCCATTCTTTCTATCCATCAGCATAAATATATTTTTATTTGTGTTGTCTCTGCTTTCTTTCAGCAGTATTTTGGAATTCTCATTGTAGAGATCTTTTGTCTCCCTGTTTAGATGTATTCCTAAGTATTTTATTTTATTTTGGGGGGCTATCGTTAATGGGGCTGTATTCTTGATTTGGCTCTCAGCTTGGACATTGTTGGTGTATAGATATACTACAATTTTTGTACATTGATTTTGTATCCTGAAAATTTATGAAGTTGTTTATCAGCTCTAGGAGTCTTTGAGCAGAAACTGTAGGGTTTTCTAGTTGCAGGCTCATTTCTTCGGCAAGAGAGATAGTTTGAATTCCTCTCTTCCTATTTGGATGCCTTTCGTTTTTTTCTCTTCTCTGATTGCTCTGGCTAGAACTTCCAGTACTATGTTGAATAGGAATGAGAGTGTACATCCTTGTGTTTTCTGGTTCTCAAACGGAATGCTTCCAGCTTTTGTTTATTTGGTATGATGTGGCTGTGGGTTTGTCATAGATAGCCCTTATTTTTCTAGGTGTGTTCCTTTAATGCCTGGTTTGTTGAGGTTTTCTTATAATATAAAGGCATGTTGAATTTTGTCCAAAGCCTTTTATGCATCTATTGAGATGATCATGTCATATTTGTTAAAAACAAAAACTAAACTTAAAGTTCTGTTTATGTGATTAATCACATTTGTTAATTTGTGTATTTTGAATCTACCTTGCATCCTATGAATAAAGCCTACCAGATTGTGGTGGATTAACTTTTTGATGTGTTGCTGAATTCTATTTGCTAGTACTTTGTTGAGGATTTTTGCGTCTATGTTCATGGGGGCTACTGGCCTGTAGTTTTCTTCTTTCATTGTCTTTCTGCCAGGTTTTGGTATCAGAATAATTCTGGCCACATAGAATGAGTTAGGGAGGAGTCTTTCCTCCTTGTTTTTTGGTGAATGGTTTCAGTAGGATTGGTATCAGTTCTTCTCTATACGTCTGATAGAATTTGGCTGTGACTACATCTGGTCCAGGGCTTTTTCTGGCTGGTAGATTTTTTATTGGTGATTCAATTTCAGAACCAGTTGGTTTGGTCAGGAATTCAATTTCTTCACAGTTCAACATTGAGAGGTTGCATGTTTCCAGGAATCTGTCCATTTTTGCTAGGCTTTCCAGTTTGTGTGCACACAGGTGTTCATAATAGTCTGTGAGGGTACTTTATATTTCTGTGGGGTCAGTGGTAATGCCCACTTCTTAATTTCTGGTTATTTTTATTTGGATGTTATGTCTTTTTTCTGTATTAGTTTAGCTAGTGGTCTAACAATCTTATTTATTATTTCAAAAAATCAACTTTTGTTTTGGTTGATATTCTGTATGAATTTGCATGTCTCCATTTTCATTCCATTAAGCTCTAATTTTGGGTATTTCTTTTCTTCTGCTAGCTTTGGGGTTGGTTTGCTCTTGATTCTCTAGTTCTTCTATGGTTAATGTTAAGTGTTTAATTTGAGACCTTTCTAACTTTTTGATATGGTAATTTAGCACTGTAAACATTCTTCTTAACTTTGCTTTCAATATGTCCCAGAGATTCTTGTAGGTTGTATTTTTGCTTTTATTGGTTTCAAAGAATTTGTTGATTTTTGTCTTAATTTTATTGTTGACCCAAAACTCATTCAGGAGTGGGTTGCCTCATTCCCATACAATTGTATGGTTTTCAAATATCTTCTTGGTATTGATTTCTATTTTGATTGTGCTGTATTCCAAGACTGTGGTTGGTATAATTTTGAATTTTCTTTTGTAATGTTTTGACAATTTCCTTATGGCTGAATTTGTGATCAATCTTAGAATATGTGCCATGTGCAGATGAGAACAACATCTATTCTGTTGTTGGGTGGAGTGTTCTGCAGATGTCTGTTCAGTCCATTTGGTCAAGCGTTGATATGGTTTGGATGTGGTCCCACCCAAATCTCAATATAAATTGTATCCCCCAGAATTCCCAAGTGTTGTTGGAGCCACCCGAGGGAGAGGTAATTGAATCATGGGGGCCTTTCCCATGCTATTCTTGTGATAATGAGTAAGTCTCAAGATATCTGATGGGTTTATCAGGGGTTTCTGCTTTTGCATCTCCCTCATTTTCTCTTGCCACCGCCATATAAGAACTGCATTTCATCTCCTGCCATGATTCTGAGGCCTCCCCCGCCATGTGAAATTTTAAGTCCAATTAAACCTCTTTTCCTTCCCAGTCTTGGGTATGTCTTTATTAGCAGTGTGAAAACGAACTAATACAGTAAATCGGTACCAGTAGACTGGGGTGTTGCTGAAAAGATACCCCAAAACAAGGAAGTAACTTTGGAACTGGGTAATAGGCAGAGGTGGGAACAGTTTGGAGGGTTCAGAAGAAGATAGGAAAATGTGGGAAAGTTTGGAACTTACTAGAGATTTGTTGAATGGCTTTGCAGAAAATGCTGACAGCGATATGGACAATAAGGTCTAGGCTGAGGTGGTCTCAAATACAGATGAGAAACTTGTTGGGAACTGGAGTAGAGGTGACTGATCATGTTTTAGCAAAGAGACTGGCAGCATTTTGCCTCTGCCTTTCAGATTTGTGGAACTTTGAATATGAGAAAGATGATTTAGGTTATCTGGTGGAAATAATTTCTTTCTTTCTCTCTTTCTCTTTTTATTTTTTATTTTTTTTTGAGATATAGTCTTGTTCTGTCGCCAGGCTGCAGTGCAGTGGTGCAATCTCGACTCACTGCAACCTCTGATCCCCTGGTTTAAGTGATTCCCCTGCCTCAGCCTCCTGAGTAGCTGGGACTACAGGTGCCCACCATCATACCCTGAAAATTTTTTGTATTTTAGTAGAGACAGGGTTTCACGTTGTTGGCCAAGATGGTCTCGATATCCTGAACTCATGATCTGCCTGCCTTAGGCTCCCAAAGTGATGGGATTACAGGAGTGAGCCACTGCACCCAGCCCTGTTGGAAATAATTTGTAAGCAGCAAAGCATTCAAGAGGTGACTTGGGTACTGTTAAAGGCATTCAGTTCTATAAGGGAAGCAGAGCATAAAAGTTTGTAAAATTTGCAGCCTGACTATGCGATAGAAAAGAAAAAAACATTTTCTGTGGAGTAATTCAAGTGGGCTGCAGAAATCTGCACAAGTAGCAAGGGCCCTAATGTTAATCCCAAGACCATGGGGAAAACATCTCCAGGTCATGTCAGAGAACTTCACCACAGCCCCTCCCATCACAGGCCCAGATATCCAGGAGGAAAAAGTGGTTTTGTGGGCCAGGCCCAGGGTCCCTGTACTGTATGCAGTCTAAGGACTGGTTCCCTGTGTCCCAGCTGCTCCAGCCATGGCTGAAAGGAGCCAAAATACAGCTCAGGCTGTGGCTTCAGAGGGTGGAAGCCCCAAGCCTTGGAAGCTTCCATGTGGTGTTGAGCCTGTGGGTGCACAGAAGTCAGGAAATGAGGTTTGGGAACCTCCATCTAGATTTCAGAAGATGTGTGTAATTGCCTGGACATGCAGGCAAAATTTTGCTGCAGGGATGAGGCCCTCATGGATAACCTCTGCTAGGACAGTGCAGAAGGGAAATGTCAGAGTCCCCAATGGGGCACTGCCTTTTGGAGCTGTGAGAAGAATGCCACCATCCTCCAGATCCCAGAATGGTAGATTCACCGAAAGTTTGCACAGTTTGCCTGGAAAAGCCACAGACACTCAATGCCAGCCCATGAAAGAGGCTGGGAGGGAGGCTATACCTTGCAAAGCCACAGAGGTGGAGCTTCCCAAGACTGTCAGAATCCATCTCTTGTATCCGTGTGACCCGGAATCAAAGGAGATCGTTTTGGAGCTTTAAAATTTGACTACCCTGCTAGATTTCAGACTTGCATGGGCCCTGTAACCCCTTTGTTTTGGCCAATGTATCCTATTTGGAACAGCTGTATTTACCCAATACCTGTAGTCCCATTGTAACTAGGAAGTAACAAGCTTGCTTTTGATTTTACAGGCTCAAAGGTGGGAGGGACTTGGCTTTTCTCAGATGAGACTTTGAACTGTGGACTTCTGGGTTAATGCTGAAATGAGTTAATAGTTTGGGGGACTGTTGGGAATGCATGATTAGTTTTGAAATGTGAAAACGAGATTTGGAGAGGCCAGGCGTGGAATGATATAGTTTATCTGTGTCCCCACCCAAATCTGAACTTGAATTTTATCCCCCAGAATTCCCACATGTTGTGGTAGGGACCTGGGGGAGGTAATTGAATCCTGGGGGCCCATCTTTCCTGTGCTATTTTTGTGACAGCAGATAAGTCTCATGGCATCTGATGGGTTTACCAGGATTTCCACTTTTTCTTCTTCCTAATTTTTCTCTTGTGGCCACCATGTAAGAAGCGTCTTTTGCCTCCCGCTATGATTCTGAGGCCTCCCCAGCCATGTAGAACTGTAAGTCCAATTAAACCTCTTTTTCTTCCCAGTCTCGGGTATGTCTTTATCAGCAGCATGAAAATGGAGTAATACAAGTGTCAGATTTATTTCCTTAATATCTTTGTTAGTTTTCTGGCTTAATGAATCCTGTTAATGGAATTTTAAAGTCTCTCACTATTATTGTGTAGCTATATAAGTTTCTTTCTAGGTCTCTAAATATTGCTTTATGAATCTATATGCTCCACTGTTGGGTGCATATAGTTATGACAGTTAAGTCTTCCTGTGGTGTTGAATTCTTTATTATTATGTAATTCCCTTCTTTGTCCTTTCTGATTATTATTGATTTAAAGTCTCTTTTGTGTCCAATAAGAGTAGCAATTATTCCTTTTTTATTTTTTGTTTGCTTGATAGATTTTTCTCTATCACTTTTCTTAGGCCTGTGGGTGCCACTGCATGTGAGATGGGTCTCTCAAAGACAGCAAACAGTTGGGTCTTGCTTCTTTATCCAACTTGCCACTCTGTGTCTTTCAAGTGGGGTGTTTACCCTGTTTACATTCAAGGTTATTATTGATATGTGAGAATTTGATCCTATCCTCATGTTGCTAGCTGATTGTTATGTTGACTGCATTGCATAATTGTTTTATAGCATCAGTGGGCTATGTACTTAAGTGTGTTTTTGTGGTGGCAGATAACAGTCTTTCACTTCTATGTTTATCTCTCCCTTCGGGATCTCTTGTAGGCAGGTCTGTTGGTAAATAATTCCCTTAGCATTTGCTTGTCTTAAAAAGATTTTATTTCTCCTTTGCTTATGACCCTTAGTTTGGCTGGAAATGGAATTCTTCATTGGAATTTCTTTTCTTTGAGGATGCTGAATATAGGCCCCCAGTTTCTTCTGTCTGGTAAGGTATCTGCTAAAAGGTCTACCTTTAGTCTGAAGGGGCTCCCTTTGTATATGTTCTGCTCCTTCTCTCTCACTGCTTTCAATATTTTTGTTTACATTAGCCTTGGAGAATCTGATTACTTTGTGTCTTGGGGATGATTGCGTTGTATAGTATCTTACTGTGGTTCTATAAATTTCCTGAATTTATATGTCAACCTCTCCAGTGAGGTTGAGAAAATTTTCTTGAGCAACATCCTCAAATATGTTTTCCAGATTGCTTCCTCTTTCTCCCTCCCTTTCTGGGGTGCCAATAACTCCCAGGTTTGGTCATTTTATATAATCCCATATTTCTCAGAGGTTTTCTTCATTAAACTTTTGTTTTCTTTATTTTTGTTTGGCTGAGTTGATTAAAAAACACTAACCTGTTCCTGTGCCAAACTCTCTGGGTTCCATGTAGCCTGGAATTCTGTCTCTGCCAACTCTCCTGGAGGTTCTTGCTGCCAGCTCAAATGTTCAGCTAAGTGTGGTTTCCTGCAGCTAAGATTCTCAAGTCCATGGCAAGAGTTGGCCACTCCACACCTCTTTCATTCACCCATTCACTAGGAGCTACTCAAGGACACAAATGAATTCTGGTGCTTGACAACCCTGTGCAAGACTCCCAGCATCCTCCCCTTTCAGTTATTTCTGAGTCCTCCATTGGCCCACTATCAATGTCATTTTTTCTGAAGATATCTAAGTAGTGTGCTAGTCTTTCTGACAGTCTAGCCTATTGATGCAAAAAGCTCTTCCTTTCCATGTCTAGTTGGCCATCTTGGCTTCAAATCAATGACAGAGTTTGATTCTAATTTTGCTTTACGTTAGCTTTGATGTTCTCATAGTTTTGGCATGGAAATTTTGAAGAAAAATTGTAACTGTTTAAAAATTTTAACTATATTTTCTTGACAAATGTACACATTGTTCCTTATAATGTAATATATATTATCAAAGGTACACTTTTTAAGGAATTATATCTCCCCAAGCTTATAACAGCATCTTCTCTGGGTACTGGAGTATTTCTAGCTCTTCAGTTAATTTTTTTCCTGATTTTCATTTACTCTCTTTTTTGGTTTCTTTTGAGATCTGCTCATAGCACTGCTTTCAGCAGTTTTGCCTTGTTGCAGCTTTTTTTTTTCTGTTAGCTTTTGTCATTGTTCCTTAAAGTGTTTGATCACAAATGATGTATAATAAATAATAGACAACATATCAACTTATTAGAAATGAGGACAATATATCACAGATGTTACCTACATAGTACATGTAGCATATTAATTATTGTACACTTGTAAAAATTGCTTTCCAAGATATTTTTATTCTTTAAATAATAATATAATTGTGAACTGAATAGAGGTTTTGGACTTAAGAGTTAAGAGGATCCAGACTTTGCCATTATCATGGCATTAATTTTCTGGAGAATCTTTTGTGAATCTATTCATTTATCTAAAATTAAATGTACTAATCTTTAAACTACATAGGTTAAACGTCTTAGTCTATTTTGTGCTACTGTAACAGAATACCTGAAATTGGGTAATTTATAATAAAGATAAATTTATTTGATTCATGGTTTTGGAGGCTGAGAAGTCTAAGATTAAGGAGCCACACCTTGCGGGATCTTCTTGCAGCATTATCCCACATTGAACAGGTGGAAGAGAAAAAGATGATGCATGGCAGAGAGAGAGATGGGGGGTGGAGAGAGAGAGAGAGAGAAGGGGGGTCAACCAAATTTATCCTTTTTTCAGAAACCCACTCCTGCAATAACTAACCAATTACTGCAATAACAGTATTAATCCATTCATGAGGGCAGGGCACCCATGACCTAATCATTTCTTAAAGCTTCCACCTCTCAATGTTGCTGCATTGAAGATTAAGTTTCCAACCTATAAACTTTGGAGGACACATGCAAATCATTGTATTGGACTAAATCTTTATTTTTTCTTTGTATTTACATATAGCCAGTGTGTATATTTATACATATTACCATTCGAATATAGCATCTATGAATCTCTTACATGTATAATAAATTTAAAGTTTGATTTACTATAAGATCAATTATCTAAGTAAATAGTGTCATGTGGCTCTGAAAAGAGCTAATGAAATCCTCGGAGGCAAAGATTGTCTAGTAGAGGGGTCTCCAACCCCTGGGCCACAGATCTTTACTGTTTTGAGGCCTATTAGGAACTGGGTCACACTGCATGAGGTGAGGGGCAGGTGAGTGGACATTGCCACATGAGCTCTGCCCCCTGAAAGATCAGTGGCAGCATTAGATTCTCATAGGAGCAAGAACCCTATTGTAAACAGTGTATGCGAGGGATCTAGATTGTGTGCTCCTTATGAGACTCTAATGCCTGATGATCTGAGGTGGAACAATTTCATCCTGAAATCATCCCCTCCATTCAGTCAGTGGAAAAATTGTCTTCAATGAAACTGGTCCCTGGTGCCAACAAAGCTGGGGGCAGTCGTTTAGTAAATATATTATATATTGTTTGTGCAGTTCTGTAGATAATTAGGTGGAACAGGGACACCTCTTAGGGACCTGGAGGCCCTCCAAACATGGAAATAATGAAAACCTTGAGCTCCTTTAAGAGAAATTTCAGGCACCTAGCATGCCTGAAAAGCAAATAAGCTACCTAATAAGTAATAAGGTAATAGTTGCTTAAAAGAATAGCCAAAGAAGTTAGAATCACAGGATGTTTTGTTCTTCTGCAGAAGCTAAAGGTAACATTTTAAAATAGATCCCTCAGATTTTTCTCTTTTTTTTTCAGAAAGCTGGACCCCCAGCAAAGGAATCCACTGGAACATAGACCTCAGATAAGGGGAAACTGAGGACTGAACTCAGATTGTCATTCTTTCCTGAATACTAAATTCCTTTCTCAGGGACCTAGAGGAGGTCATACCCCAGAAATAACATTTTTTTTTCTGATCATCTCAAATTTTTTAAACAAAACTTCACCTCCTGAACCAGTTGCAAATTAGAAAATCTTTGAATCCACCTATAACCCATGGGTCCCCATTTCAAGATATCTTACCTCTTCAGGTCAAAGCAATGGATAGCCTGTAAGTATTGATTTATGACTTTGCCTGTCACCTCTGCCTTCCCATCTTTAAAAACCCTTAACAATAAGCCATTGGGGAGTTCAGGTCTTAAGCATTAGCTTCCTGATTCTCCTTGCTTTGTGCCCTGCAAAAACTTTCTCTGACTGCAATTCTGATGTCAGTGTCTGGCATTGCTATGCTAGAGGAGCAGACTCCAGTTTGGTTCGGTAACAATACTTTACTCTCATGCTCCAAACTCATCCGAAGTTATATTACTTCTAAGAAATAATTATGTATCTTTCTTTCTTTCCCCCAAACCAGAATAGTTATACCTTTTTATGTGATTTCAACGCTCTTTACATATACCTCAGTGAATATCTCCTTTATACCAGGGCAGAAGAGGCCTCTGATCTTGGCTGGTACATTAGAGGACCCACCGTTTATAACTACACGGAGATACACAGACACACAGACACACAGACACACACACACACATACACACACAAATAATTTTATAAAGTATACGTGGGTACTTCTGTCACTTGGGAATCAATGGTTAGTGTTGGCATTGTGGGACCATAACCCTAAATACCTGCCCCTGTGAGAGATGCCTTTCTGGAAGTGAGGTAATGCTTTACTGCATCCCTTGCCCCTGTCCTTGAAATAAAGGATGTCTGAATATTAAAAAAAAAAAAATGTACATTGTGCTGCTGCCTACACTCCAGAATGCCCTGTGACAGAGTGTGGAGACAATCTGAGCAGCACAAGCATTTAGGTAAGAGAAAAGACTAATTAACTTGTCAAATTCTTCTTCACAGCATGAATGCTGCCACAGATTCCTGCATAACCAAGTATCATCACCAAGCAGCACTGAGCAACATTTTTCTTTCTTCACTTTTATTTTAATTCATGGTTCCAGTGATACTCCAGAATTACACAGTATTCAGAATAATTGCACATGGTGATTGAAACCCTATTGTAATATTAAATAATCCCTCCTTACTATAAAAGTATATGTATAGTTTTAGGTGAAATTTTGATCTCATGATATCAATAATTTATATCAGTAACAAGATAAATATTGACCAGTAGAATTTTGAAGAGTTTGAATTTTACACTTACTTTAATCTATACTTTTGTAAAAATCTATACAAATTTGTACATTTTCAAGTAAATTTATTTTTATTTCTTAGAAATTTACTTTTGGTAGGACACAAACTATAAACATTCTTACTATAACAAAGAATGTACTACTGTGAGGACAAAATATGTTATTAAATAATTATATAATAATATATTATCTTTATTTTATTATTCATTCAAGTATTGCTGTCTTTTTAGTGAAACAAACATGCAACATAAATAATAAATTAAATGGTCTCTGGTATTTTGCTGGGTTTTGTTCATATAAATATTATAGCCTTTTACATAATTTCCTTATTTTACTTGTGTGAAGGTATAATTACAACAGGCAGATGAGAGAGCATATTTTAATAATTTTTTTATATGCATGCACATATATATATATAACTCTTACACATAATTTGTCCTCTTGCTGTTGACCCCATAAACGTAATGGATGAATGCAATGCGACATTAATAATAAACATCTTCCTATTGTGTTGAAATAATATATTACCTTCTTTCTCCAAGCCATTTCAATATGGAAAAAAAGGTAATCCATTCCCCTGACCAGAATAAGAAACTGAATATTCAAACAAAATAAATTGTCCTCGGAAACTAACTAGCCTCCACCTGAAAGCACATTTATCATGGAAGACTTTAGCCTCATGTTTGTGGTTATCATCCACAGTCATAGAATCCAATTTAAGTTCAATATCAACTTCAAGAGAAATACCTTACGGTTCCCTTTTGCCTTATTGAACATCGTCTTCCCTCTTTGAGACTGCTGTTTCCTAAGGCACACTTTTCTTTTAAGTCTGGACTCCAACCACTATATTGGCCAAGGCTATTCTTTCTCTTCTTTGAAAATACAGGGGTTATCTGAAACATTTTCATTCCGACAATGGTCTCTCCAGATGACTGGTGGTTCATTCTAATAAATCTTTTTACCTCTACTCCTATGTCAGTGCTTAGCATACAGTGAGCACTCAGTTCAGACTGATTGAATAAATAAATACATGGATAAATGAATAAAGTAGAGATAATGATATCAGTGTCTTCTCCATTCAGACTACAACTACCTATAGGTTTTTTTCTTTTCAGTTTTAGTGCTCACATTTTAAGTTGTGAAATGTACATAAATGTATATGGAGAAATGACAGCTAAGCTGTTTCAGATACTTAAAACTCTCTTCTATGATAAGTAGCTGACACAACTAGGTATGTCCAATGTGAAAAGGTGAAGAGTTTAGAAAGGGTCATTCGTTTTGGACAATATTTGAAAAATGTTGGACATATTCTTTCTATGTTATATTGGATTCATTGTGTAGGAATTTTCTTGGTTAGTAATAATTAACACTTACACAGTTTTCAATCCCAGGTACTGGTCTAGGCAGTTTTACATAAAAGTCAATCCTTTAAGGTAGTTATTTTCAGTGTCTCCTATTTGTAACCTAGGAAACTGAGACACAATGTGCATTAGTCACAGAGTCATGGACTAAGCCATTGTCAATGCTCTTAATCACTATGCACTCTGTCCCCTCCTGTTGTTTTATTCTCTTTTTTCAAAAAAAAAATTAATATTACACTCATAGTCCTACTGTAGTGAGGAATGTGTTAGACAATAAACAATAATTAAGGAATAAAATTTTTAGGAAGGAGGGAACAAAATACTTCTGTCAAAAAATTGCTTTCTTATATCTAGGCTTTGAAAAATTGAGATTTCCAATTATGAGTTTTTGGATAGAAACTTTTACAACACTGCAACATGTAGGTGCAACAGGAGATCAGTTAATATAGGGTATGCCACCTCAGAATGCAAACAACTTTACTTATTAAGTCAGATTATCCAGTTACATGTATACTGGTCCTGTAATCTTTGAGATTTTTAAAAATAGAATTCATTGTATAGGGCATTTTATTTTCACAGCAAAACTGAGAGGAAGGTTCAAAGATTTCCAATATGCTGTCTGCCCTTACACATGTATATTTTCCCCATGATTAATATCCCCTACCAGAGTGTTACATTTGCTACCACTGGAGAATGTACATCAACACACCGTTATCATCCAAAGCCCATTATTTACATGAGAGTTTATGATTGGTGTAGTATAGTCTCTGGCTTTGGACTAATGTTTAAAGACTTGTATCACCATTAACATATCATAAAAAATAGTTTCATTGCTCTGAAAATCCTTCATGCTCCAATTGGTCATCCTCCGTCTTCCCCTTATACCTGGAAACCACAGATTTTTCAGTCTCCACAGTTTTGTGCTTTTTCAGAGTGTCATATATTTGGAATAATACAGCATGGAGCAATTTCAGAGTGACTTGATTCACTTCATAATAAGCATTTATGTTTCCTTTATGTCTTCTCATGGCTTGATAGTTTATCTTTGTTACCACTAAATAGTATTCCATTGTCTGGATATACCAGTTTATTCACCTAATTAAGGGCATCTTGGTTGCTTCCAAGTTTTGGCAATTATGAATAAAGTTGCTATATATGTTCTGTGCAGGTTTTTGTACAATATGGTTTTCACCTCCTTTGGGTAAAAACCAAGGATAAAATTGGTGGATCATATGGTAAAGCTATGTTTAATTTTATAATAAACTATTTAACTGTCTTTCAAAGTGGCTATACCATTTTGCATCCTCACCAACAATAAGTGAGAGTTTCCATCATTTCACATCATTGACACCATTTGGTGTTGTCAGTGGTCTGGACTGTGGTTACTATAATACTGTGGGGTGATATCTCATTGTTGTTCTAATTTGCATTATCCTGTTGATCTATGATGTGGAACATATTTTAATATGCTCATTTGTCATCTGTAAATATTATTTGATAAAGTGTGTGTTAAGGTCTTTGGCCTATTTTTTTTTTTTTTTTTTTGAGACAGAATCTCTCTCTGTCACTCAGGTTGGAGTGAGGTGCGCTATCTTGACTCACCACAGCCTCCTGCTCCCAGGTTCACACGATTCTCCTGCCCCAGCCTCCCGAGTAGCTGAGATTACAGGCACCTGCCACCATGCCTGGCTAAAGGCCTGTTTTTTAATTGTGGTGTTCTCTCGTTGTTGAGTTTTTGAGGGTTTTTTTTAATATATTTTGAATGGTGGTCCTTTGTCAGGTATGTCTTTTGCAAATATTTTCTACCACTTAGTGGCTTGTCTTTTCATTCTCTTGATAGTGTCTTTCTGAGAGCATAAATGTGTAATTTTAATGAAGTCAGGGTTATCAATTCGTTCTTTTATAGATCACGCATTTGGTCTGACATCTAATGTGTCATTGCCAAACTCAACGATTCATGCATTTTCTCTTGTGTTATTTCCTAGGAATTTTATAGTTTTGTGTTTACATTTAGATCCGTTATCGATTTTGAGTTAACTGTGAAGGGTATAAAATCTGTATCTAGATTCACTTTTTTTGAATGCAGATATCCAATTGTTTCAATAGCATTTATTGAAAAGACTATATTTTCTTCATTGTGTTGCATTTGACAACTTGTCAAAGGTCTATTGATGATATTTATTTGGACTTATTTCTGGGCTATTTATTCTATTCCACTAATTATCTGTTCTTTCCCTAATACCACACTGTCTGATCACTTTAGGTTTATTAGTAATACTTGAAGTCAAGATAGTGTACATCCTCCAACTTTGTTCTCCTTCTTCTTCAGTATTGGGTTAGTTATTCTGGATCTTTCTCCTCTTTATATAAACTTTAAATTCATTTGTCTATATTTCCAAAGTAACATGATGTCATTTTGATTAAGATTAAATTGAATTTATAGGTCAAACTGAGAAAAAAAATAACATCTTGAAAATACTGAGCCTTTCCATATGTAAACATGGAATAGCTCTCTGTTTTTAGGTTACTGCGTCAGTGTTTTATAATTTTCTTCATATAGACCTTGTAAATGTTTAGTATATTTACACCTGAGCATTTCATACATTTAAGGATGCTAATGTAAATAGTATTGTATTTTAATTTAAAATTCCATTTGCTCATTGCTGTATATATGAAAGTAATTGACTACTGCATATTAACTTTGCATCCTGCAACCTTGCTGTAATCACTAATTCCAGGAGTTTATTTGTCAATCCTTTTGGATTTTCTATATAAATGATTATGTCAAATAAAAAAATAGTTCTTCTTCTTCCTTCTCAATCAATATATGTTTCATTTTATTTCTTGTTTTATTGCAATGGCTAAAACTTCTAGTACGTTCAAAAGCAATGGTGAGAAGGAATATCGTTGCCTTGTTCCTGCTCTTTGTAGAAAAGTTCTAGTTTCTCACCATTAACTATAATGCTAGCCAAGAGAGATTTTTGTAGATATTCCTTATCAAGTTGAAGAAATTATCCCCTATTTCTAGCTTACTGAGAGTTTTTGTAATGAATCACTAAATTTTGTAAAATGCTTTTCCTGCATCTTTCAGTGATCATGTGAGTTTTCTTCATGAAGCTATGGATATGATGGGTTACATTAAGTGCTTTTTCTAATGTTAAATCAGCTTTGCATAATTGTGATAAGCACCACTTGATTGTAGCATGTAATTCTTTTACATATTGTTCAATTTGATTTTCTAATTTTTTAAACTTTTATTTAACATTCAGGGGTACATGGACAGGTTTGTCATACAGGTAAACTCATGTCACAGGGGTTTGAGGTAAGAATTATTTCATTATCCAGGTACTAAGCATAGTACCTGATAGTTATTTGTTCTAATCTCCACCTTTCTCTCACCATTCACCCTCATGTAGGCCTCGGAGTCTGTTGTTCCTCTCTTTTTATCCATGCATTCTCATTGTTAGCCTCCACTAATAAATGAAAACACGCGGTATTTAGTTTTCTGTTCCTGCATAAGTTTGCTTAAGATAATTGCCCCAAAACTATGCATATTTCTGCATAAGACATGATCTCACTTTTTTTTATTATGGCTGCATAGTAGTCCGTGTCATAAATGTACCACATTTTAGGTTGATTTCATGTCTTCTCTATTGTGAATAGTACTGCAATGAACATACCTGTGCATGTGTTTTTATGGTAAAACAATTTCTATTTTGGGGGTACATACCCCAAAATGGGTCAAATGCTATTTCTGTTTTTAGGTCTTTGAGAAATTGCCACACTGCTTTCCACAATGGTTGAACTACCTCATACTTCCACCAACAGTGTATAAGTGTTCCCTTTTCCCTGCAACCTTGTCAGCAACTGTTATTTTTTTGACTTTTTAGTAATAGCCATTCTGATTGGTATGAAATAGTATCTCACTGTGATTTTGATTTACATTTTCTAATGATCAATGATGTTGAGCTTTTTTTCATATGCTTCTTGGCTGCATGTATATATTCTTTTGAAAACTGTTTATATCCTTGGCAAACTTTTTAACTGAATTTATTGGTTTTTGCTTATAAATTTATTCAAGTTCTTTATGTATTCTGGATATTACACATTTGTCAGATGCATAGTTTGAACATAGTTTCTCCCCATTCTGGACATTGTCTGTTTATTCTGTTGATGCTTTCTTTTGCTGTGCAGAAGCTGTTTAGCTTAATTAAATCCCATTTGTCGATTTTTGCTTTTGTTGCAATTGCTTTTGGTATCTTCATCATGAAATATTGCCAGTTCCTGTGTCCAGAATGGTATTTCCTAGGTCATCTTCCAGGGATTTTATAGTTAGGGGTTTTACATTTAAGTCTTTAATTCATCTTGAGTTTTTTTGTATGTGGTAGAAGGAAGGAGTGTGGTCCCAATCTTCTGCATATGACTAGCCAGTTATTCCAGCACTGTTTATTGAAAAGAGAGTCCTTTCTCCATTGCTAGTTTTTGTCAGCTTTCTTGATGATCACATGATTTTAAGTGTGCAACATTATTTCAGAGCTCTCTATTCTATTCCATTAGTCCGTGTATCTACTTTGGTACCAGTATCATGCAGTTTTGATTACACTAAACTTTTAATATATTTTGAAGTCAAGTAGTGTGATAACTCCAGATTTGTTCTTTGTGCTCAGGATTGCTTTGACAACTTGGGATATTTTTGGTTCCATACAAATTTTAGGTATCTGTTTTCTACTCATGTGAAAAATGCCATTAGTGTTTTTACAGTAATTGCATTGAATCTGTAGATTTTTTGGGGGTAGTGTGGTTATTTTGATAATACCAATCTATCTATGAACATGGGATGTCTTTCCATGTGTTTGTGCATCTTTCAGTTTCTTTCATTAGTGTTCAGTAGTTTTACTTTAGAGGATTTTTTCCTCCTTGGTTCTATTTATTCCTAGGTGTTTCATTTCAGTTTTTTTTTTTTTTTTTTTTTTTTTTTTTGGTCAGCATTGTAAATGGTATTATCTTCTTGATTTATTTCTCAGATAGTTCATTATTGGTGTACAGAAACATTACTTGTTATTTTTTGTTTTTTATCCTGCAATTTTATTGATTTATCAAATATAAAAGATTTTTGTGAAATATTTAGCTTTTTCTAGTATAATATCTTGAAAATGGCCATACTGCCCAAGGTAATTTATAGATTCAATGCCATCCTCATCAAGCTACCAATGACTTTCTTCAAATAATTGGAAAAAACTACTTTAAAGTTCATATGGAACCAAAAAAGAGCCCACATTGCCAAGTCAATCCTAAGCCAAAAGAACAAAGCTGGAGGCATCACGCTACCTGACTTCAAACTATACTACAAGGCTACGGTAAGCAAAACAGCATGGTACTGGCACCAAAACAGAGATATAGACCAATGGGACAGAACAGAGCCCTCAGAAATAATGTCACATATCTACACTATCTGATCTTTGACAAACCTGACAAAAAGAAGAAATGGGGAGAGGATTCCCTATTTAATAAATGGTGCTGGGAAAACTCGCTAGCCATATGTAGAAAGCTGAAATTGGATCCCTTCCTTACACCTTATACAAAAATTAATTCAAGATGGATTAAAGACTTAAATGTCAGACCTAAAACCATAAAAACCCTAGAAGAAAACCTAGGCAATATCATTCAGGACATAGGCATGGGCAAAGACTTCATGTCTAAAACACCAAAAGCAATGGCAACAAAAGCCAAAATTGACAAATGAGATCTAATTAAACTAAAGAGCTTCTGCACAGCAAAAAAAAAAAAAAAAAAAAAACCACCATCAGAGTGAACAGGCAACCTACAGAATGGGAGAAAATTTTTGCAACCTACTCATCTGACAAATGTACAAAGAACTCAAACAAATTTACAAGAAAAAAACAAACAACCCCATCAAAAAGTAGGCGAAGGATATGAACAGACACTTCTCAAAAGAAGACATTTATGCAGCCAAAAAACACATGAAAAAATGCTCACCATCACTGGCCGTCAGAGAAATGCAAATGAAAACCACAATGAGATACCATCTCACACCAGTTAGAATGGCAATCATTAAAAAGTCAGGAAACAACAGGTGCTGGAGAGGATGTGGAGAAATAAGAACATTTTTACACTGTTGGTGGGACTGTGAACTAGTTCAACCATTGTGGAAGTCGATATGGCGATTCCTCAGGGATCTAGAACTAGAAATACCATTTGACCCAGCCATCCCATTACTGGGTATATACCCAAAGGATTATAAATCATGCTGCTATAAAGACACATGCACACATATGTTTATTGCGGCACTTTTCACAATAGCAAAGATTTGGAACCAACCCAAATGTCCAAAAATGATAGACTGGATTAAGAAAATGTGGCACATATACACCATGGAACACTATGTGGCCATAAAAAATGATGAGTTCATGTCCTTTGTAGGGACATGGATGAAGCTGGAAACCATCATTCTCAGCAAACTATCGCAAGGAAAAAAACCCGAACACCGCATGTTCTCACTCATAGGTGGGAATTGAACAATGAGAACACATGGACACAGGAAGGGGAACATCACACACTGGAGCCTGTTGTTGGGTGGGGGAAGGCGGGAGTGATAGCATTAGGAGATATACCTAATGCTAAATGATGAGTTAATGGGTGCAGCACATCAACATGGCACATGTATTCATATGTAACAAACCTGCATGTTGTGCACATGTACCCTAAAACTTAAAGTATAATAATAAAAATAAATAAATAAATAAAATAAAAACATAATTTTAAAAAGATTCCAATAGCATGATATGAAAAGAGTCAATTATTTGGACTTAAACATTTTAAAAATTGTTCTTAGAAAGACCTTGTTAGGAGGATAAAAAGACAAGCAATGAACTGGAAGAAAAAAATTGTAAATCACAAATCCACCAAAGGACTAGTTTCTGTAATATGTAAAGAATTCTCTCAAAATTCAACAGAAAAAATCTAATATGGAAATTGGCAAAAGACATAGACAGTTATTTCACTAAAGAGGACATATGGATGACAAGCTTATGAAAGGATAGTCAATATTAGTAGCTATTTAGAAAATGCAAATAAAAACCATAGTGAAATATCTGTACACACTTAATAGAACAAATAAAACAAAAAGCAGTGACAATACCAAAAACAAAAAAAGATCATGTCATCTGCAAAGAGGGACAGTTTGACTTTCTCTGTTCCAATTGGATGACTTTTATTTCTTTCTCTTGCCTGTTGCTCTGGCTAGAAATTCTAGTACTGTGTTGAACAGGAGTGGTAAAAGAGGGCAACTTTGGCTGGTCCTGGTGGCTCACTCCTGTAATCCCAGCACTTTGGGGGGCCAAGGAGGGCAGATCATCTGAGGTCAAGAGTTCAAGACCAGCCTGGCCAACATGGTGAAATCACTTCTCTACTAAAAATACAAAAATTAGCCAGGCATTGTGGTGGGCGCCTGTAATCCCAGCTATGTGGGAGGCTGAGGCAGGAGAATTGCTTGAACCTGGGAGGCGGAGGTTGCAGTGAGCCAAGATTGCATCACTGCAGTCCAGCATGTGTGACAAAAGCAAAAATCCATCTGGAAAAAAAAAATGTGGCATCCCTGTCTTATTCCAGTTGTTACACAAAAGACTTTTGGCTTTTCTCCATTCAGTGTGTTGTTCGTTGTGGGTTTGTCAATATATGACTTTCATTATTTGGGTATATGTTTCTTCCATGCCTAGTTTGTTGAGAGTTTTTGTCATGAAAAGATGCTACATTTTACTAAATGTCTTTTTTTCTACTTCAAGAAAATCATATATTTTTGTCCTTCTTTCTATCAATGTGATGCAGCATACTTACTGATTTGTGTATGTTGAAGCATCCTTACATCCCTGGGACTAATTTCACTTGATTATGGTGTGTTATCTTTTTGGAGTGCTGCAGAATTCAATGTGCTTGTGTTTTGCTGAGGATTTTTGTGTTTATATTCATCAGAAATACTGGCCTGTAGTTTTCTTTTGTTCTTGTGTGTTCTTGTCTGGTTTTGCTATTAAGGTAATGTGGGTTTCATAGAATGAACTAGAGATAATTTTCTCCTTTTCAATTTGTTAAAATAGTTTGAGGAGGATTGTCAGTTTTTGTAAGTTTGGTAGAATTCAGCAGTAAAGCCCTTTGGTCCTGACTTTTTATATATTAGGAGACTTTTTATTACTTATTCAATCTCATTACTCATTATTGGTCTGTTCAGGTTTTCTGTGTCCTCCTGATTAAATTCTGTTAGATTGGATGTGTCCAGAAATTTATTCATTTCTTCAAGTATTTCTAGTTTGTTACCATATACATATTTATAGTAGTCTCTGATGGTCTTTTTATTTCTGTGTTATCCATGGTAATGTTTCATTTTTTAGTTTTGAGTTTATTTAGGACTTCTTTCATTTTTTAACCTTGATTAGTTTAGGTTAGAATTTATTAATGTTGTTTATGTTTTCAAAAAATCAACCTTTTATTTCATTAATTATTGGTAATTTAAAAAAAATCCCTATTTCAGTTCTGCTCTGATCTGTAATATTTCTTGTCCTTTACTAATTTTTTATTTGATTTGTTTTTCCTTTTCTATTTCCTTGTGGTTCACCATTAGGCTGTTTATGTGAAGTGTTTCTACATTTTTGATGCAGACATTTATTGCTATAAACTTCCCTCTTAGCATTGTTTTTGCTGTATCTCATAGGTTTTTGTATGTTGTATTTATGTATATTTTTTGTCTCAATTTTTTTGATTTCCTCTTTATTTCCTCCTTGACACAATGGTCATTCAGGAGCATATTGTTTAATTTCCATGTGTTTGTGGAGTTTCCAAATTTCCTCCTGTTAGTAGATTTTAATGTTATTACATTGTAGCCTGAAAAGGTACTGGATATGTTTTGATTTTAAAAAATGTGTTAAGGGTTGTTTTGTCACCTAACTTGTAGTCTATCCTTGAGAACCTTCCGCATGCTGATGAGAAGATGGTATATTCTGTAGCTGTTGGGTGAAATAGTTTGTGAATGTCTGTTAAGTCCATTTGGTCTAAATTGCTTTTTAAATTCAATGCTTCTTTGTTAATTTTCTGTCTAGATAATCTTTGTAGTGCTGAGCATGGGGTTTTGAAGTCCTCTTTAAGTATTACCTTGGACTCTATCTCTCCCTTTAGGTCTAATATTATTTATTTTGTATGTCTGGATGTTTCAGTGTTGGGTTCATATATATTTAAAATTGTTAAATTCCCTTGCAGATTTATTGCTTTATTATTATGTAATAAGCTTCTCTTTCTCTTTTTACTGTTTTTGACATAAGGCTTGTTTTATCAGGTATAAGTACAGCTACTCCTGCTTGTTTCTGTTTGCATGGAATGTCATTTTTGTTGTTTTGCTTTCAATTTATAAGTGCCTTTAAAGGTGAGAAGAATTTCTTGCAGCATAGAGTTGGGTCATGGTTTTTTACACATTCAGCAAGTCTATATTTGTTTCCTTTATTTTTTTAATGAAGTATAACTTTGCTAGGTATAATATGCTTGGCTGACATTTTAATTTTTTTTCTTCAGTGTCTGTATATACCATTCCATTCTCACCAAGCTTATAATGTTTCTGCCAAGAAATTTGCTGTTAGTCTTATAGGGCTTCCCTTATAAGTGATTAGACAGTTTTTGTTGCTGTTTTTAGAATTTCTCTGACTTTTGACAGTTTGACTGTAACGTATAGAGAAGACCTTTTAGAATTTGATCTATTTGGAAATCTGTGAGCTCCCTGTTTTTGCTTATCTAATCTCTTGCTAGACTTGAAATTATTTCAGTTATAATTTCATTAAATAGATTTTCTGTCTCTTTTATTTATACTTTGCCTTCTGCACACTTAAAATTCAAATATTTGGTCACTTTATGATATCCCCTATGTCACATAAACTTTGTTCATTATTCTTTGTTTTCTTCCTATATTTTCATCTGACTGGATTATTTCAAAAGAACTGTCTTCAAGTTCTAAAATTCTTTCTTCTGCTTGGTCCAGTCTATTGTTGAAATTTTCAAATGTCTTCTGTTTTAATTTCAATCAATGAATTTTTCAGTTTCAGAATTTTTGTTTGGTTCTTTTTTATGATATCTATCTCTTTGGTAAATTTCTCACTTATATTCTGAATTGTATTTCTGATTTATTTGTATTTTTAATGTTCATTCTTATGTATCTCACTGAGTTTTTAAATATTATTTGAATTTTAGTTTCAGGATTTTATAAATGTTGTTGTTAAGCCTGTCTTTGGGCCACAGGGCAACATACGGTGGCACCAAAGTTAACAGATTCAGGTAGGCTATTCTTAGGCCTCCAGCCAGCTTGCTTGGGTGACAGCAATGGCAGCAGAGAGCTGGCTGGTTGGGCAGACCTTCGGGTCCCTGGGCAGTGAGCATGGCATGAACAGAAGTAGTAGCACTGGTATGATAACCATCTCATTCCCATATGTGCTTGTGTTGGCAGTGGCTGCAACAGGCTTGGTGGGGGCATATTCCCAGGCCTGAGGGTGGCACATATGGATGAATGATAGCTGTGGTGGTAAAGGTGTGTCACGTGGGCTTGCCCTCTGGCCCCTAGGATGAATGTTAAAGTACTAATGGTGATAGACTGGGCAGGGCTATTCTCAGGCTCCTGATTGGTGAGTTCAGGTGCTGAGTGGAAATGGAGCACATCTGTGCCACTCAGATCTTTCTTCAGGACCCTTTGTGGTGCATGTCGCTGCTAGCTATGATAGTCAGTGGCAGGGTAATGCACAGGCCCCTGGTGTAATGCTTGACTTGGTGCAGCAGTGGCTACAACTGTAGGCAGGCAGTTGGGGAGTATGTATTTTGGACCCAGGTGATAGCTGCAAGCAGGGTGATAACTGAGCTACACACTTCCCAACTGCCTGCTTACAGCTGCAGCCACTGCTGCCCCAACTCAGATATTACACCAGGGGCCTTAGGATGACCCTGCCACTGCCTATAATGAAACCTACATTATGCTTGTAAATGCATAATGGCCTCACTACTGGGGATAGTTAGGTCACTGCCAATAGCTTGCATTACAGCTCTGAAAGCAGCAGCCAGCCACCATTTTGTCTAGGGGTAGGGGATGTCTATGGAGCTCTAGGGATGTGGAGTTGTAGGGGTTGTTGGGCTCCAGAGCAGGATGCTACCTGGTGGGAGCTGGGCTCTCAAAATAGTGCCATACTCTAGCTTAAGACTTCAGGGGAAGGTGGGAAGCAGCATTAGCTTTCTCTCTGGACAATGCCAACTCACTGTCTCCAGGCAGCTCCCTATGTTACTCTCAGGGCCTTTGAGGGTAAAGTGGGCCTCTTCTGCCTAGGATTGGAGGAGACTGTGGTAGGAATGCAGGCTGCTAGGGTCCGCTAACTTACTCTTTCCCCAAATTGGAGAGTCTCTCTAAGTTCCCAGCAGGGCCCAGATAACCAAGCTCCCGTGCTTTCCTCTCCTTCCTTGTCTTAGGTGTTTCCTCTCACTTCTCTACTGAATATCAATGTTCTCCCTTATATGGTCTATGTGATATGTGATAATCTGCCTGCTATTGTAGTTCCTCTTTGTGAAGGAGGCAAGTACCAGATACCGCTAGTCAGCCAACTTGAATCCCCTCCCTCTGCAATATGCTGTTACAGATAATCCAAGTCCACTTAAAAAATAACAGTATATGGTGTGGTGGCTCACACTTGTAATCCTAGCACTTTGGGAGGCTGAGGTGGGGAAATCACTTGAGTTCAGGAGTTCAAGACCAGCCTGGGCAACATAGTGAGATCCCATCTCTACAAAAAATAAATAAATAAATAAAATTAGCCAGGTGCCGTAGCATGTGCCTGTAGTCCCGGCTACTTGGGAGGCTGAGGTGGGTTGTTTGCTTGATCCTGAGAGATCGGGGCTGTGGTGAACTATGTTCATACCACTGCACTTCAGCCTGGGTGACAGAGAAAGACCCTGTCTCAAGGAAAAAAACAAAACAGACAAACAAACAAAAACCACAACACTGTACTGCTTCACAGGTACTTCAAGTACTTGTAATTATTATTACTTTGTATAATATAATAACCCTAATTCCTCCTCCCATTTCTTGCATCATTGATGTTATTATTTTACTTACATGTAAGCGTAAACAAGCTTACATACATATGCAAACCAATAAAATAGATTGTTGCTATTATTTTGAACAAACTGTTATGTTAGATCAATTAAGAATAAGGAAAAAATATTTTTTTTTCACTTTTACTTACTTTCTTTTATGCTCTTCCTATTTTATAAATGGATCTGTTTCTGATCTGGATAATTTTTCTTCTCTTTAAAGAACTTCTTTTAATTTTCTTGCATAGCAGACCAACTGGCAACAAATCTCTCAATGTGGGTTTGTATGAACAAGTCTATTTCTTCCTCGCTTTTGAAAGGTAATTTCATAGAGAACAGAATTCTTGGTTGTTGGGTATTTTTTTCTCTCAACTCTTTAAATATTTCATTTTACAATCTTAATGCTTGTATAGTTTCTGAGAAGTCAGACATAATTCTTATCTTTGCTCTTCTATACAGAAGGTACTATTTTTTCCCTCTGGCTTATTTCAAGATTGATTTTCTGTAGTATGAATCAATATGTCTAGTTATAGGGGTTTTGGCAAATATTTTGCTGGTGTTCTCTGAGCTTCTTTTCTTGGTTATCTGATCTGTTGTTTGGTTATTTGACATTAATTTGGGAAAAATTCTCAGTCTTTATTGTTTCAAATATTTTTTCCCTATCTCTCTTCCTTCTCCTTCTATTAATCCCATTATATGTGTATAAGATGTTTTGTAATTGTCCCACAATTCATGGATACACTGTTCCCTGTTTTCTTTTTCCTCTCTCCTTTTCAGTTTTGAAAGTTTCTACTGAAGTATCCTCAGGCTCAGAGATTCTTCTTTGGTATTGTCCAGTTTACTGTCCAGCCTATGAAAGATCTTGTTAATTTCTGTTACAGTGTTTGATCTCTAGCCTTTCTTTTTGATCATTTTTTTAGAATTTCCTTCTCTCTACTTTAATTGTTCATCTGTTTTTGATACAGTCTACTTTACTCATTAGGCTCTTTAGCATATTAATTACATTTGTTTTAATGTCTGTTATGATAATTACAGCCTCCCTGACAAATCTGGATTTGGTTCTAATGCTTAGTCTATCTCTTCAAATTGTGTTTTGTGCCTTTGGTATGCCTTGTAATTTTTTTCTTGATAGCTAAACATAATATGCGGTTATCTTAGTCTGTTTCTGCTGCTATAATAAAATGCACAAGACAGGGTAAGTATATAAAACATAAATTTATTTTCTAAGAGCTCTGGAGCCTGGGAGGTGCAAGATCAAGGTATTGGCAGATTCAGTGTCCAGTGAGAGATTGTTCTCTCTTTTCAAAAAATGATGCAGTATTGCTGTGTTCTCACATGGCAGAAGAGGTGAATGCTTTATCTTCATATGTTAGAAGGCAGAAGGGCAAAAGAATCTAGCTAATTTCCTTAAGTCTTTTTAAGAGGCACTAATCACATTCATGAGGGTGGAGCCATCTTGTTCTAATAACTTCCTAAAGGCCTCACTTCTTAATGCTGTTGCACTGGAAATTAAACTTCAACATGAATTCTGGAGGAAACACAATAAATCCAAACTATAGCATTGAGTAAAAGGAACAAGTAAGTTCCTTTTAGGTCTTTAGGAATGTAGTGTTAAGGTGTGGCAGAGGGAAGCATCCTATGATTAAGCCTTAGTCTTTAGTAAGCCTGTGCTTTTGAACTGTAAATTTCACAAGTGCTTCTCAAATTCACTTCTCCTCCTACCCTTGGAAGAACAGATGGCTAGGCTGGGATGGAATTGGAGTTTCCTATATGCAAGGCTAGAAAACGCTTGAGATTTTATTAAAGATTTTTTCTTTAAATATTTTAGCATTTTCTCATCTGGGATAAAAGATGTTAATAAAAAGGTTTTATGCCCATATTTAGCCATAGTACTAAGTGTGACATAGCATAATTTAAAACATATTTCTATAGAAATCTCTGGAAAAGAGGAGTGCTTTCATACCACTTAGAAATCCTCTATAGGTTAAATCAGAAAGACAAACAAACAAACTTGATTTAATAATTTCTAAAAATACCATCCTTTTACATATAAAAGCCTCGCTGAATTGAAGTAATTTACTTTTCTTCTATGCAGTTTTACAGGAGAAAACATTCACATATTAATTCAGTTTCTTATGAGTAATGCCTGTTTAAAAGAGTATAGGGTCTTTTAAATATTGGAAGTTTATTTTAAGAGAAACTGAAAAGTATTAAAGAATATTAAGTATCTAAATAAATGACTTTATATAGTTCATATTTTAAGACTTTAATTGCTGTGAGAAGAATGTATTGAAATCATGAAAGGGTGAGGAGAAAATGTGGATAACCAAAGCTCATTTAATTTCTGTAAAATATGAGTATCAACATTTGGATTAACATTCTTGCAGTAGACATAAATGAAGGTGGCCAGAATTAAAGATATTTAATATGTAGAATTTATAGGAATGTGAAAAGTACTGGACATGGAGATTGTTCATGTCAGGCCTCTGGGCCCAAGTCTGCACGTATACATCCAGATGGCCTGAAGTAACTGAAGAATGACAAAAGAAGTGAAAATGTCCAGTTCCTGCCTTAACTGATGGCATTACCTTGTGAAATTCCTTCTCCTGGCTCAGAAGCTCCCCCACTGAGCACCTTGTGACCCCCCACCCCTGCCTGTCAGAGAACAACCCCCTTTGACTGTAATTTTCCACTACCCACCCAAATCCTATAAAACGGCTGCACCCCTATCTCCTTTCGCTGACTCCCTTTTTGGACTCAGCCCACTTGCATCCAGGTGATTAAAAAGCTTCACTGCTCACACAAAGTCTGTTTGGTGGTCTCTTCACATGGACGTGCGTGAAATTTGGTGCCATGACTCGGATCGGGGGACCTCCCTTGGGAGATTAATCCCCTGTCCTCCTGCTCTTTGCTCCCTGAGAAAGATCCACCTACGACCTCAGGTCCTCAGACCAACCAGCCCAAGGAACATCACACCAATTTTAAATGGGGTAAGCAGCCTCTTTTTACTCTCTTCTCCAACCTCTCTCACTATCCCTCAATCTCTTTCTCCTTTCAATCTTGGTGCCATCTTTCAAGCTCTCCTTTCTCTTAATTTCAGTTCCTTTCCTTTTCTGGTAGAGAGAGAGGAGATGTGTTTTATCCATGAACTCAAAACTCCAGCACTGGTCACTGGTCACGGACTCGGGAAGACAGTCTTTCCTTGGTGTTTAATCATTGCGGGGACACCTGCTTGATTATTCACCCACGTTTCAGAGGTGTCTGATCACTGCGGGGATGCCTGTCTTGATCCTTCACCCTTAGTGGCAAACACCACTTTCCTGGGGGGCAAGCACCTCCCCACGCCTTCTCTCCGTGTCTCTACCCTCTCTTTTCTCTCCACTTTCCTGGGGGGCAAGCACCCCCCACCCCTTCTCCACTTTCTTGGGGGGCAAGCACCCCCCGACCCCTTCTCTCCATGTCTCTACCCTCTCTTTTCTCTCCACTTACCTGGGGGGCAAGCACCCCCCATCCCTTCTCTCCATGTCTCCACCTTCTCTTTTCTCTGGACTTGCCTCCTTCACTATAGGCGAACTTTCACCCTCCATTCCTCCTTCTTCTCCCTTAGCCTGTGTTCTTCAAGAACTTAAAACCTCTTCAACTCACACCTGACCTAAAACCTAAATGCCTTATTTTCTTCTGCAATGCCACTTAACCCCAATACAAACTCAATAATGGTTCCAAGTAGCCAGAAAACTTTTGATATTTCCATCTTACAAGATCTAGATAATTCTTGTCGTAAAATGGGCAAATGGTCTGCGGTGCCTGACATCCAGGCATTCTTTTACATATCAGTCCCTCCCTAGTCTCTCTTCCCAATGCAACTCGTCCCAAATCTTCCTTCTTTCCCTCCTGCCTGTCCCCTCAGTCCCAACCCCAAGTGTTCCTGAGACTTTCCAATCTTCCTTTTTTAAAGACCCATCTGACCTCTCCCCTCCTCCCCAGGCTACTCCTCACTGGGCTGAGCCAGGTTCCAATTCTTCCTCAGCCTCCACTCCCCCACCCTATAATCCTTTTATCACCTCCCCTTCTCACACCCAGTCCTGTTTACAGTTTCATTCCACGACTAGCCCTCCCCTACCTGCCCAACAATTTCCTCTTAAAGAGGTGCCTAGAGCTAAAGGCATAGTCAAGGTTAATGCTCCTTTTTCTTTATCCGACCTCTCCCAAATCAGTTAGTGTTTAGGCTCTTTTTCTTCAAATATAAAAACTCAGCCCAGTTCATGGCTCGTTTGACAGCAACCCTGAGATGCTTTACAGCCCTGGACCCTGAAAGGTCAGAAGGCCATCTTATTCTCAATATGCACTTTATTTTATTACCCAATCTACTCCCAACATTAAATAAAGCTCCAAAAATTAGATTCCGGCCCTCAAACCCCACAACAGGACTTAATTAACCTTGCTTTCAAGGTGTACAATAATAGAGTAGAGGCAGCCAAGTAGCAATGTATTTCTGAGTTGCAATTCCTTGCCTTCACTGTGAGAGAAACCCCAGCCACATATCCAGCACACAAGAACTTCAAAATGCCTAAGCCACAGCAGTTAAGCATTCCTACAGGACCTTCTCCATCAGGATCTTGCTTCAAGGGCCAGAAATCTGGCCACTGGGCCAAGGAATGCCTGCAGCCTGAGATTCCTCCTAAGCCTTGTCCCTTCTGTGTGGGACCCCAATGGAAATCGGACTGTCCAACTCACCCAGCAGCCACTCCCAGAGCCCCTGGAACTCTGGCCCAAGGCTCTCTGACTGACTCCTTCCCAGATCTTCTTGGCTTAGCAGCTGAAGACTGATGCTGCCCAATCACCTCAGAAGCTTCCTGGACCATCACAGATGCTTTGGGTAACTCTTACAGTGGAGGGTAAGTCCATCCCCTTCTTAATCAATACAGAGGCTACCCACTCTACATTACCTTCTTTTCAAGGGCCTGTTTCCCTTGCCTCCATAACTGTTGTGAGTATTGACGGTCAGGCTTCTAAACCTCTTGAAACTCCCCAACTGTGGTGCCAACTTGGACAATATTTTTTTATGCACTCCTTTTTATTTATCCCCACTTTCCCAGCTCCGTTATTAGGTCTAGGCATTTTAACTAAATTATCTGCTTCCCTGACTATTCCTAGGCTACAACCGCACCTCATTGCTGCCCTTTTCCCCAGTTCAAAGCCTCCTTCACATCCTCCCCTTGTATCTCTCCACCTTAACCCACAAGTATAGGACACCTCTGCTCCCTCCTTGGTGACCAATCACGCATCCCTTACCATCCCATTAAAACCTAATCACTCTTACCCTGCTCAATGCCAATATCCCATCCCACAGCACTCTTTAAAAGGATTAAAGCCTGTTATCACTCGCCTGTTTCAGCATGGCCTTTTAAAGCCTATAAATTCTCCTTACAATTCCCCCATTTTACCTGTCCAAAAACCAGACAAGCCTTACAGGTTAGTTCAGGATCTGTGCTTTATCAACCAAATTGTCTTGCCTATCCACCCCGTGGCTCCAAACCCATATACTCTCCTATCCTCAATACCTCCCTCCACAACCCATTATTCTATTCTAGATAAACATACCTGACTCCATGGATCTTAAATCCTTTCCCCACTCCTCTTTTCGTTCCATGAAGATAGCTTTAGAGACTGCTCTCACACTAGCTCTCCCTGACTCATCCCAACCCTTTTCATTACACACAGCCGAAGCGCAAGACCATGTAGTCAGAATTCTTATACAAGTACCGGGACCACACCCTGTAGCCTTTTTGTTCAAACAACTTGACCTTACTGTTTTAGGCTGGCCATCATGTCTCCCTGCAGCAGCTGCCGTGGCCCTAATACTTTTAGAGGCCTTACAAATCATAAAGTATGCTCAGCTCACTCTCTACAGTTCTCATAACTTCCAAAATCTATTCTCTTCCTCCCACCTGATGCATATACTTTCTGCTCCCCGGCTTCTTCAGCTATACTCACTCTTTGTTGAGTCTCCCACAGTTACAATTGTTCCTGGCCCAGACTTCAATCTGGCCTTCCACATTATTCCAGAGACCACATCTGACCCCCATGACTGTATCTCTTTGATCCACCTGACATTCACTCCATTTCCCCATATTTCCTTCTTTCCTGTTCCTCACCCTGATCACACCTGGTTTATTGATGGCAGTTCCACCAGGACTAATCGCCACAGACCAGCAAAAGCAGGCTATGCTATAGTATCTTCCACATCTATCATTGAGGCTACTGCTCTGCCCCCCTCCTCTACCTCTCAGCAAGCCAAACTCATTGCCTTAACTTGAGCCCTCACTCTTGCAAAGGAATTACATGTCAATATTTATAGTGACTCTAAACATGCCTTCCATATACTGCACTACCATGCTGTTATATGGGCTGAAAGAGGTTTCCTCACTACACAAGGGTCCTCCATCATTAATTCCTCTTTAATAAAAACTCTTCTCAAGGTCGCTTTACCTCCAAAGGAAGCTGGAGTCATACACTGCAAGGGCCACCAAAAGGCATCAGATCCCATCGCTCAGGGCAACACTTATGCTGATAAGGTAGCTAAAGAAGCAGCTAGCATTCCAACTTCTGTCCCTCATGGTCAGCTTTTCTCCTTCTTATTGATCAATCCCACGTGCTCTCCCACTGAAACTTCCACCTATCAATCTCTTCCCACACAAGGCAAATGGTTCTTGGACCAAGGAAAATATCTCCTTCCAGCCTCATGGGCCCATTCTATTCTATCATCATTTCATAACCTCTTCCATGTAGGTTACAAGCCACTAGCCTGCCTTAGAACCTCTCATTTTCTTTCCATCATGGAAATCTAACCTCAAGGAAATCACTTCTCAGTGTTCCATCTGCTATTCTACTACTCCTCAGGGATTGTTCAGGCCCCCTCCCTTCCCTACACATCAAGCTGGAGGATTTGTGCCCACCCAGGACTGGAAAATTAACTTTACTCACATGCCCTGAGTCAGGAAACTAAAATACCTCTTGGTCTGCGTAGACACTTTCACTGGATGGGTAGAGGCCTTTCCTACAGGGCATGAGAAGGCCACCATGGTCATTTCTTCCCTTCTGTCAGACATAATTCCTCAGTTTGGCCTTCCCACCTCTATACAATCCGATAATGGACCGGCCTTTATTAGTCAAATCACCCAAGCAGTTTCTCAGGCTCTTGGTATTCAGTAGAACCTTCATACCCCTTACCATCCTCAATCTTCAGGAAAGGTAAAATGGACTAATGATCTCTTCCCAAAAACTCACCAACCAAGCAGGTAATTATGCTGAACCCCCTTAAGCACTCTCTAATCCGATGTCCTGGGTCCTCCCAATTCTTAGTCCTTTAATATCTATTTTTCTCCTTCTTTTATTCGGATCTCGTATCTTCTGCTTGGTTTCTCAATTCATACAAAACTGCAGCCAGGTCATCACCAATCATTCTATATGACAAATGCTCCTTCTAAAACCCCACAATATTACTCCTTACTACAAAATCTTCCTTCAGGTTAATCTCTCCCACTCTAGGATCCCAGGCCACCCCTAATCCCGCTCGATGCAGCCCTGAGAAACATTGCCCATTATCTCTCCATACCACCCCCCAAAATTTTCGCCACCCCAACACTTGAACACTATTTTGTTTTATTTTTCTTATTAATGTAAGAAGACACTAATGTCAGGCCTCTGAGCCCAAACCTGCCTGTATTCTTCCAGATGGCCTGAAGTAACTGAAGAATCACAAAAGAAGTGAAAATGGCTGGTTCCTGCCTTAACTGATGACATTACCTTGTGAAATTCCTTCTCCTGGCTCATTATGGCTCGAAAGTTCCCCTACTGAGCACCTTCTGACCCCTGCCCCTGCCAGCCAGAGAACAACCCACTTTGACTGTAATTTTCCACTACCTACACAAATCCTATAAAATGGACCCGCCCCTATCTCCCTTCACTGACTCTCTTTTCGGACTCAGCCCCCCTGCACCCATGTGATTAAAAAGCTTTATTGCTCACACAAAGCCTGTTTGGTGGTCTCTTCACATGGATGCACGTGAAATTTACCACTTGGCTTTCTCAGAATTCGGGGCTGTCCTCTGATTGCTATAGGTTACAGCCCATTTGAGCTCTTTTATGGACACTCCTTTTTATTAGGCCCCAGTCACATTCCAGACACCAGCCCAACTTGAACTGCACCCCAAAAACTTGGATAGAGCCTAAAAACTCACCAACCAAGCAAGTAATTATGCTGAACCCCCTTGGGCACTCTCCAATTGGATGTCCTGGGTCCTCCTAATTCTTAGTCCTTCAATACCTGTTTTTCTCCTTATCTTATTCAGACCTTGTGTCTTCTGTTTAGTTTCTCAATTCATACAAAACCGCATCCAGGCTATCACCAATCCTTCTATATGACAAATGCTCCTTTTAACAACCCCACAATATTGCCTCTTACCACAAAATCTTCCTTCAGCTTAATCTCTCCCACTCTAGGTTCCCATACCGCCCCTAATCCTGCTTACAACAGCCATGAGAAACATCGCCCATTATCTCTCCATGCCACCCCCAAAAATTTTTGCCACCCCAACACTTTACCACTATTTCATTTTATTTTTCTTATTAATATAAGAAGACAGGAATGTCAGGCCTCTGGGCGCAAGCTAAGCCATCATATTTCCTGTGACCTGCACGTGTACATCCAGATGGCCTGAAGTAACTGAAGAATCACAAAAGAAGGGAAAAAGGCCAGTTCCTGCCTTAACTGATGACATTACCTTGTGAAATTCCTTCTCCTGGCTCAGAAGCTCCCCCACTGAGAACCTTGTGACCTCCGCCCCTGCCCCCAGGTGATTAAAAAGCTTTATTGCTCACACGAAGCCTGTTTGGTGGTCTCTTCACATGGATGCATGTGAAAGTTTAGATGACCTTTTGGAATTCTGACTTGAACTTGCGTATTGTCTCTTATGAGAGAAGAAACCTTTGAAAAGTGGCATGTATTTTGGTCTGAGAGGAAAAGCGTAATGGGATACAGGTTGGACACACTAAATTCATTGAACTTCAATTCAAAAGCTCAATTATATAGCTTGTATATATTGATTTATTGTTAGGTAAAAAATGGAGAAAAAGTAAAGGCATCAAAATGGAGATGTCATTGAAGTCATATAGCAGTTTGAGTGGGAGTTCTTTATCAATCAAAGTTTCACAGAATAAAAGATTATGATTGGAGATTTGGAAGTTTGAGTTAGTAGTCTCAGAGGTGTGATAATTTTGAGATGACTTGGTTCATGGCTTATCATTGACCCTCAGTATAAATTTGATGATGTTAATTAGTGAAAGAATGTAAAAGTGAGAAGAAACTTGGCAGAATTTTGAGCAATTACAACCTAAAATTGATAATAGAGGAGAAAACAGAAAAACTTGGAGATACAATACAGAGTAATCTAGACTATTCAAACAAAACTAACAAAGATTTTATATCTACAGAAACATATCTATATAATTTATATAAAACTATATTAAATAAATATATATACACAAATAAATACATAGTTGTGTTATGATGCAAGACAAGAGTAAATAGATTTTGTCAAAGAAAACATGATTAATTATATCAAATGTAGCCAATCAGACAAGCAGAAGAATTGCAAAAGATAATTTAGATGTATAACATTGGTTTATGATTAAATATAGTTAGAAGAAAGAAATGTAAGTTACTTATGTGAATAACATAAAGAGTTTCTGTAATTTATTAATAAATTACCTACCATTATTGTGCTAGAAAATATAAACATATCAACTAATACTATATGTGCCATTAAAAAGCTTTAAATCCAGGGTGTTACCATAAGGTCATGTTAATTAGTGCAATTGCAAGTTGCTTGTATAAGACAGATTCTGAAGACGTTTGTCTACTTAATTTTTGCTCCAGATATTGCAAAGGCTTAGTGTAAAACATTTGAAACAGTAACTATTTCAATATATTCGTATTACTCACTAACACGTAACTCTATACCTAATCCTCCCCTTTTCTGCAAATATAATTATTTAATTACTGATATCTACCTAAAATAGATATTCATTAAAGAATAACAGCATATGACTATAAAGCATTTTTGTTATTTTTAATATACTAATATTTATATAATCTTTTAGTAAAAATTATATGAAATTATTCTGGTTTACACAGTGGAATGTGTTTTTTAAGGTCATGCAAGAAATGGAAATATAGCTGGAGTTGTAAATAAAGTATCAGTTTTTTTGTTTACTTAAAAAACAGAGCACTTTCCTCAGTCTGGATTTTTCATCAGGTTACAGTTATTGCTTTTTATTTTATCACTCTTTCTTTTTTACTTTGTGTTTGAAAGTATTTGTTGGCATAAACTGTGTGTTTCTGGAGATGGTTAAGATCAATAAAGGCCAAAGAAAGAAGTGAAGTTTCCCAAGAAAAAGCCAAAGACAATCCTTAGTACTTTGGAGCTTCCCAGGAGGGCTGAGAATTAAGACCACTCCAGGTAGCTTTTAAAATCATCTAAAACTTTCATATTATGGCAGTGTGCCAAGAAAAATCATAAAAATTCAGTTCATGCTGGAAGCTTTTTTGTTTGCTAATCTTTTGAACATTCAGCCCATTAAAAGAGACTGTGTCACTTTTCATTTAAACAATGTTTAATAACAACCATCTGATAAAAATTCCACATATCATACAGCCTGCAGTAAAAGCAATTTCTCATGTCCTCATCGACAGTGAAACTGTCAAAGAAGTAAATAATCTCACTGAAGAAGGCAATGTATTTACCAGTGCAGTCTTTGTTCAATTTTCACAAGCTATTTAACACAAACGTCACTGCTTTCTTTGACACAATTGTAGAAAAAACTAGTGAAAATAAGTTGAAATATTTTGTTTTGTCTTGTGAAAAACTGTAGATGTCACCCACAGTTTGTTATTACTATTTATTATTTAATTTGTATGCTAAACATTTTTCTTCCCTCCTTCCTTCTGGTAGTAGGCAGATATTTTCTTTGAAATTAGATAAAAAATTTAGGCATATGATTCATTAATACTAGGGAACACAGATAGAAAATATATGTTTCAAGTTAGATAAACCTTTCCAAGATATATTTTTCATCAAATAATTCAAATTTTTGACTGTTAGTGACAATGGCCAAACTGTCCTTTTTATTTCAAGTTCTAAAATGTAATCTGTCATTTCTGTAGATATCATTAATTTCTTAGCAGCCTCTTTCAGCGAAACAAACAAAATAAAAAAAGAAATGGTTTTAGTCTTTAATGTAAATTTTTTCTTGTTTTTCTGTCACTTCATTAATCACTCATTTAGTATCATCACCAGAAATGAGTCCCTGTTCTTGACTGTTTTCTGTCTTTATTTGGATTCTGTATTACCTGGCTTATTTTTTTTGTGTTTCTCTCTCATTGTACAAGTCACCAATTCTCTTCTCTTATAGCTTTGAAAATACAATTCAGGTGTATTATTCTTTACTTTTTTCTGTCCTGAATTAGGTTATTGTATGTGTGTGTATGTATGCACACACATCTATTTGCATACTACATCACAATGTCAGGAAATTTTCAAGAATGTAATATATAAATCATTTATCATATACTTAATAGGTGCTTACATGGTCCATGGATATAATAGTGGAAAAGAAAGATATTTTTAGTCCTTATGACAATCTTATATAGGAAAACGTTAGACCTATACATAATGGCAATAAAGCAATACTGAGGAAAATCATAATAAAAGCATTGGAGTCATAAAACACTCACCAAGAGCAACACTTACCATCCCAAACTTAATTTCCTTATTCAATTACATTTTAAGATATCAGGCTATTTAAACAATGTTATTCCTAAGAAAATCCAACACATAACATTTCAAAATGATAGAACAGAATAATTCACTCTATAAAGGGTTCTTATTTTGTCAAAAGACTCTGTTAAAGTATTATTACCCAAACACTATAATTTAAAAATTATTGAATATATATATTCCTGGAATATGTAAGATAATAAAGCAAAAATTGCCTTAAATGAAAATATTAAATTTTTACTATAATGAAGATTGAAAAAAAAAAACACTAAGAAAATTAACAGCCAAAGCATATTGGACACTTATAAAGTCAATCTGCTAATTCTTTATAACATTAGTTTATATAGTGGTTCTCAAAATGCGGTTTCTAGATTAGCAACGTTAGCATCAATGAGAACTTAGAAATGCAAAATCTCGGCTGAGTGTGGTGGCTCACACCTGTAATCCCAGAACTTTGGGGGCTGAGGTGGGTGGATCACAAGGTCAGGATATCGAGACCATCCTGGCTAACACAGTGAAACCCCGTCTCTACTAAAAATACAAAAAAATTAGCCGGACGTGGTAGCGGGCGCCTGTAGTCCCAGCTACTCCCGAGGTTGAGGCAGGAGAATGGCTTGAACGCGGGAGGCGGAGGTTGCAGTGAACCGAGATGGTGCCACTGCACTCCAGCCTGGGCGACAAAGCGAGACTCCGTCTCAACAAAAAAAAAAAAAAAAGAAGAAGAAGAAAGAAATGCAAAATCTCAGACCTTACTTTCCCTGTTGCATAAGAACTCAGGCTGACTCTGATGCAAGATAAAGTTTGAGAACCACTAAGCGAAATACAGTGTTCACAACTCTTTTTGATGCATGGACTGACATTATCGCCATTTTACAAAGGAGGAGTCTTGAGCAGATTATTTATTGCGCTCAGAATGACAGCAAGTGTTGTGTTAGCTTCCAAACCCAAACAACTTGTTTCACTCTACTCCTGTGCTTTACATCACGGTGCTCCTGAAGTACAAATGAAAAGTCTTAAGTCTTTTAAGCGTGGAGTTAACAGTAGCATATGAATTACATTATGGGCCATAGACTCAGCTCTCCTGGGTGTGAAAATCTGGTAGTCTGGTTCTCTCTCTCTCTCTCTCGATTTTCTGTCTCTCTCTTAAAACTTCCTCTATGTAGACATAGTGCTTTGCTGTGAGTTTTAAATCTTAAATTACACACTATATCTAAAGCACTTGGCTTTTAAATATTAGTTATGTTTTCTCTATAAAATAGTATTGTAGATGTTTTGTGGGGAAGACTTAAAAAGGAATTTGTCTGTGTCAAACATTTTATTGACCTTCTTTGATTTTTTTTCTTGGTGTGCTTAATTTATTTAGGTAAAATTTACCAGTTCCATGAAACCCACATCAGTCTTAACATCCTATTAAAATAGGGCAAATAGGATCAGAGAGGGTATATTCATCATAATAATTTAGGCATATTTTTAGATATATTCTAAATAGATAACTTCATATACCTTCGGCATATTTTGAGAATATAGGGCTGAACTTGTCTAAAAATTTTTTTTTTGCTCTCCCAAACTGCCAGAAATTCTCCACTACATTTGCAGTATTTTTTGTAGATGTTTCTGTCATAAACTACTGTGCCATCCTGATCGTGATATTACATACTAAATGGAATCATTTTATTACATATATTTTCAAATTGACAAGTGGGTAAGAATCATACACACCTGAGAATAACCTGGTTGAAATTTCATTTTGATGTTGTGAAAGATAAAGACCTATGCTTATGTCCCAATGTACTTCAAATATAGAGCTGGTTTATAAATTCCATCATGCTAAATACAAGTTGAAGATTACTTAAGAGGTGTAATTAGATTACTTAAATGGGTGGTAAAAGTGCTGGACTGAGACAGAAGAGGAACAAAAAAAAAGTTTTGGAAGAGCACTTGGTTACTTCAGTAAATAAATATACAAATAAAGTTTTATTTTGTTTTGTTTTAACTTTAGGCTATTCTTAGAGATGTTGAGAAATAGCTCACTGTAAGTTTCTACCCAAGTCCAATGTTATTTGAAAAGTAGCCAAAGGACTCACATAAATGAAGATCGTAATGAAGATCTTATTATCAATAAAGGCTATTTTTGGAGAACTTGGCTTGTTTGGGTATGCAGCCACACAACTTGCTAACATTGCCCTGAATTAATTCTACTTGAAATTTGCAGAAATTAGGAGTAGAGTGTGTTTTTCTAATTTAAATATTACAGCAATGGGTGTTCTCTCTAAGGTAGGTAAATTAATCAAAGGATAATGAGAGTTGAGGCAAGTATATGTGGTTTTCTTTTCCAAACTCACCATTTAGATAAGTTACTATTCCTCACATGGAAAGTAGTGGGAAGAGAAGGAATAAGAGGCCAGAGATTTTATTCTCTTTGCAGTTTTATTATACAAAAACATGATAAATTGCTGATAAACTTTGCACTCTATATTATTTGAGGTAGGCCAAAGGGCTCAACAAAAAATTACAGAGTAATTTTTCTTTTTTGTTTTTTCTTTTTTTTTTTGTCAGACAGGTTCTGGCTGTCTTGTGCAGACTGGAGTGCAGTGGCACAATCTTGGCTCACGGCAACCTTGACCTCCTGGGATCAAGCCAACCTTCCACTTCAGCCTCCCGAGTAGCTAGGACTACAGGCACTTGACACCGTGCCTGATTAATTTTTGTATATGTTTTAGAGAAGGGTTTCACCATGTTGCCCAGACTGATCTTGAACTCCTGAGCTCAAGCATACTGACCACCTCAGCCTCCTAAAGTTCTGGGATTACAGGCGTGAGCCACTGAACCCAGCCAGAGTAATTGTTTAGGTTGGGTGTTGATAGGCTACGGGAACAGCTTGAAATGGTTCAGCCAGCTTTATCAACTGGTTTCTATGTTAAATTCCAGCACATTGATAGTGGAAGATAAAGAAGGTATACAGAGGGCAAGCTCAATAGGTAAAGTCTGACATGGAAAGGGCACTCAAACCTTCTGTTAATATCCTACTGAAGATAAGTTATGGCTACACCTAGATATGAGAGAGACTAGCAGATGTCTCTTAGCCATGAGTCCATGAAGAAGAGAACAGCTTTTGGTGGACGTTATCCATCCGTACGTGTTCTCCTTTGATCATGAAATATGTAGGAACAGTCTTTGTCTCACAAAATGAATGCAATGTTTTCTTAACGTTGACAATCCAAAACTCACTCAGTTACTATATTCAGCTGAAAGTTCAGGACCTGTGGGCAACATTCAGTTCTCTCCACCAGGCCAAGTGGGTTGCCTGTGGCCCAGAGACCTTACAAAAGAAAAAGCACGTTATAATGTTTCTCCTTTCCACCAAACACACAATATACAAAGGCAGAGCAAGGAGAGATAGAACATAATAAAAAGTACCATCAAAAAGGGAAGCCTGGAAAACAGCCCTTCCTCTTTCAGAGCAGTTACTGATGAAACTCACATGGGTCGTATAGTCAAGACACCTTGATCTGAGTAGTTAAGAAATTTTCTTGAATAGACCAAAGTTCTCCTTGGCAGGAATTTTCTTGAACATTGTTTATATGGCTCATGATTTGCCCTCTGCAAAATTTTTACTTGTCCTATATCCTCGACAATAACATCTGAAATGGGTATTTCAGTTAATAATCTAAATGGGGTGTTGTAACTTTAAAGACTGCTTCCTCTTGGTACAACTTTCCAATACTGGGGTTTGTTTCAAAGACTGATTGGTACCAGAAGCTTTCAGGACATTTGTAGTCAGTTTGCAGTATAATTTCCTCAAGAACCTGAAGACTTCTGATCATTTTTGATTTCAGTTATTCCCTTGTGTCAGTAGCCATAGAGTCACCAAATTATTCTGGATTTTCTCTATTTTCTCCGATTTCTTCTTGTTAGCCAACCAATTGTTACTGATGTTGTTATCATACTTATAATTATTTAACTCTTATAATACTTTGTTTTAAGTGGCAAGGAGTAGCATATACATGCTAATATGTTTGATCTTTTCAACTGATTTGGCTAGACTTTCGGTGTTGTTAAGTATGTGATCTGCCTTCCAAATTAAAACAAGCAATAGTTTTCCACAGCATAGGGTGAAACACTAGCTTTCCAGCCTGCTACATCTGCTACACCCACCCACTGCCCATAACCTGGCTATGCGCTACTAAGCCAGGACTACATGTGTATACCAATATTTGTTATAGAACCCTACTAAAGTGTACTCATTTTTGTATTGGTTAGGGTAGACTAGCTACTGTAAGAAGAAACAAATAACTATGTTACTTGTAAAAAAGCATACCCTAGTGTAGTGGGAAGAGGAGGATAGACAAGTGTTGGCTAATGTGTACAAAAACACTGTTAAATAGAAGCAGTAAGATCTAATATTTGGTAGTACAATAGGGTGACTATAGTTAACAATAATTTGTTGTATATTTCAAAATAACTAGAAGAGTGAAATTGCAATGTTCTTAACACACACAAAAATGTTTCAGATGATGAATATCCCAGTTACTCTAATTTTGTCATTACAAATTGTATGCTTTTATCAAAATATCACAGGTACTCCATAAATATGCACAACTATTATGTAGCTATAAAAATTAAAATATATTGGGCCGGGCGTGGTGTCTCACACGTGTAATCCCAGCACTTTGGGAGGCCAAGGCAGGCGGATCACCTGAGGTCGGCAGTTCAAGACCAGCCTGACCAAAACGGAGAAACCCCGTCTCTACTAAAAATACAAAATTAGCTGGGCATGGTGGTGCATGCCTATAATTCCAGCTACTCTGGAGGCTGAGGCAGGAGAATCACTTGAACCCGGGAGGCGGAGGTTGCAGTGGGCTGAGATCGCGCCATTGCACTCCAGCCTGAGCAACAAGAGTGAAACTCCATCTAAAAAACAAAACAACAAAAACAAAACAAAACAAAACAAAAGGCTGGGCACAGTGGCTCATGCTTGTAATCCTAGCACTTTGGGAGGCCAAGGCGGGTGGATCACCTGAGGTCAGGAGGTCGAGACCAGCCTGGCCAACATGGTGAAACCTCGTCTCTACTAAAAATACCAAAACTAGCCAGGCATGGTGTCAGGCGCCTGTAGTCCCAGCTACTTGGGAGGCTGAGGCAGGAGAACCACTTGAACCTGGGAGGCAGAAGTTGCAGTGAGCTGAGATCACGCCATCGCACTCCAGCCTGAGGGACAAGAGCAAGACTTCGTCTCAAAAAACACAAAATAAAACAAAATAAAAAATATATACACATAATTACATAATAGGAGTAATAATTATTACTTAAAAATAATAATGTCCAGTAGGAAAGTGGTTTTCTTCCATGTCATAATTCATAATGAAGTCCAATTCCTAGAATCGTGTTACAGGTACAGATATTGAAATTTATTTATTTAGCCTGTGGATTTACCACAATTTTACAAGTTTCATTTTGTTTTTATGACACATGATAATTTTCCATATTTATGGGTACAGGGTGATATTTTGACATGTATGGGGTACAGTGTGATGTTTACATACATTGTGTACTGATCAAATCAGGATAATAAAAATAGCCATGACTTCAAACTTTTGTCATTTCTTTGTGGTAAGGACATTCAAAATTCTTTCTTCTAAAGATTATGAAGTATACAATATGTTATTATTTACTGTAGTCATCCTATTGTGCAATACAATGCTGGAACTTCTGTCTCCTATCTAATTTTAACTTTATTCCAGTTGACCAATGTCTCCTCTGTCCCGCTCTTTATACCAGTTGACCAATGTCTCCACATCTCTCTCTACTTTTTCTAGCCTCTGGTAATCACTATTCTACTCTCTACTTCTAAGAGATAAACATTCTTATGTTCTACCTGTAAGTGAGATTATGCCATATTTATCCTTCTGTACTTGATTGATTTCATTTAACATAATATTTTTTAGGTTCATCCATATTGTCACAATTGACACAATTTTATTCTTTTTTTATAGCTAAATAGTATTTCACTGTGTATATATACCACATTTCATTTTCTTTGTTCATTCATTGATAGACACTTAATTTGATCTTGTATCTTGGCTACTGCTGCAATATTGTGGGGTACAGGTATATCTTCAACATACAGATGTTATATCCTTTGGATATATAACCAGTAGTGAGATTGTTGGATCATATGGTAGTTTTGTTTTTAATTTTCTGAGGAAGCTCCATTTTGTTCTTTATATGGCTGTACTAATTTATATTCTCAACAACATGGTATAAGAGTTACCCTTTCTCTGCATCCTTCCTAGTATTTGTTACTTTTTATCTTTTGATAAAAAAGTAAAAAATCTTTTGACTGCATTTTTTCCAAATTTTATTTTGGGTTCTAGGGGTATAAAATGTGCAGGTTTGTTACATGGGCAAATTCTGCGTTGCTGAGGTTTGGTGTACAAATTATTTTGCCACCTAGATAGCGAGCATAGGACCCAATTGGAAATGTAGTTTTCCAACCCTCACCTTCCTCCTACTCTCTGCCCTCAATTAGACCCCTATGTTTATTGTTCCATCTATGTGACTATGTATACTCAATGTTTAGCTACCATGTGCACCACATGTTAACACTTATAAGTGACACCATGTGCACCACATGTTAACACTTATAAGTGACAACATGTGTTATATGGTTTTCTGTTTCTGCATTAATTAGCTTAGGGTAGTGGCCTTTAGCTGCATCCACATTGTTGCAAAGGATATGATTTTATTCTTTTTATGACTACAAAGTATTCCATGGTGTATATGTACCATATTTTTTTTTATCTGGCCCACTGTTGATGGGCATCAATGATGATTCCATGTATTTGCTATTGTGAAAAGGGCTGCAATGAACATACACTATCATGAGTCTTTAGGGATACTGATTTATATCCTTTTGGATATATACTCAGTAATATGATTCCTGTATTGAATGGCAGTTCTGTTTTAAGTTCTTTGAGAAATCCTCAAACAAGTTTCTACAGTTGTTGAACTAGTTTACATTCCCATAAACAGTGTATAAGCATTCTTTTTTCTCTGCAACCTCACCAATATCTGTTGTTTTTTGACCTTTTAATAATAACTCTTCTGACTGGTGTGGGATGATAACTCATTATGGTTTTGATTTACCTTTCTCTAATAATTTGTGATGTTGAGCAGTTTCTCATGTTTGTCATCTATATGTATGTCTTCTTTTGAGAAGTGCCTGTTCAGGTTCTTTGCACACTTTTTTAATGAAGTTGTTTGTTTTTTGCTTGTTGGTTTGTTTAAGTTCCTTGTGGATTCTGGATATTAGACCGTTGTTGAATGCATAGTTTGGAAATAAGTATTGTCTTTTATTCTATAGGTTGTCTGTATAATATTTTGATATTTTCTTTTGCTGTGCAGACCTTTTTTAGTTCAATTAGGAAATTGCTTTTTAATTGTAATTGTAATTTTGTAATTGCTTTTGGAGTCTTTATCATGAAATCTTTGCCAAGATCAATGTCCAGAATGGTATTTCACAAGTTTTATTCTAGCATTTTTATAGCTTCAGGTTTTATATTTATGTATTTAATCCATACTGAGTTGATTTTTGTATGTGGTGAAAGGAAGGGGTCCACTTTCTGCATATGGCTAGCCAGTTTTCCCAGCACTATTTATTGAATAGGGTAGTCTTTTCCTCATTGCTTGCTACTGTTTGTTGACTGTGTTGAACATCAGACGGTTGGAGATATATGGCTTAATTTTTGGTTTCTCTAACCTGTTCCATTTGCCTATGTGTCCATTTTTGTACCAGTACCATGTTGTTTTTGTTACTGTAGCTTTTAAGTGTAGTTTGAAGTCAGGTAGTGTGTTGTGTCCAGCTTTTTTCTCTTTGCTTAGGATTGATTTGGCTACTTGGGCCCTTTTTTGGTGCCATGTGAATTTTAGAATAAATTTTTCTAATTCTGTGAAAAATGATGTTGATAATTTGACAGAAAAGGCATTGTATCTATAATTGCTTTGGGCAGTATGGCCATTTTTAACAATATTGATTTTTCCTATACATGGCTGAAATGACAGAGAATTCAGAATCTGGATGGCAATGAAGATTGTCAATATGCAGAACAAAGATTCAAGAGGTGAAAGATGAAATAGCCATTTTAAGAAAGAGCCAAATTTAATCTGATAGAGCTGAAAAACTCACTACAAGAATTGTATAGTATAGTCAGAGGCATTAAAACCAGAATAAACCAAGCTGAGGCAAGAATCTCAGATCCTGAACACCGGTTCTTCGAATCAACTCAGTCAGGCAAAAATAAGGAAACAATAACTTGAAAAAGTGAAGTAAAGCTCTGAGAATTATAGTATTATGTAAAGAGAACAAACTTATGACTCATTGGCACCCCTGAACGAGAGGGAGAAAGAGTTACGCAAGCTAGAAAGCAAATCGTCCACACAAATTCCCCAGCTTCATTACAGAGGTTAGCATTCAAATTCAAGATCAATCATTTAAATAGTGACAGAGTGTAGGAAGATGTCTCAGTAATTCAGACAGAGATGTTTGTCTTGGGATACAAATATTTCAGTGGGGGATAAGAAAAATTAAAGTTCTATTATGTTTTGGAAGCAATGCTGAGAGGGCTCAAAGATGGATTAAAAGTAATGGCAAAAACAGCAATTACTTTTGTGCCAGCCTGATATAAGGGTTAAAGCAAAAGGAATCTTCAAGGAATATTCCCAGTCTAGGGAAATATTTAGGTGAGATAGCTAGGGAAGGAGTGGATTTTGCATGGTGGCACATGAAGTGAATGAGAAGTTTTGTTTCAATCATGTTAAGTTTGAGATGCATATTAGGGATACAGACTGTGATGCCCAGGTGATAAAATATGAGTCTGAATATCAGGGAATAGCCCTGAACTAGAGAAATGTTTTTGAAGATAAACAGCCTATAGTTGTTTTTAAAATCATGAGACTTCATTTACCACTCAGAGAAAATACATAAGAAAGAAATCCAGGTTATAGTCATGATATATTCTAATGTTATAGATTGTAATGTTATAGCAGGAGCAGTGAAATCATCCAAGCAAGACCCTTGGGGAAAAGCTGACATGGGGTAATGGGAATATCAAGAAAGTAGAGAGTCTTGGAACCCCAGAGAATTACACGTTTTATCTTGGAGTAAGTGGCAAAATGTATCAAATGCTCCTTAATACAAGGTAAGGACTGGAAATAAATATTGGCTTGTGAAGATGAAAGTCAATAGTCACTTTGACTAAAGTTGTTTTAGAGAAGTTGTGTGGGACGACAACCAATGGGAAGAGGTTGGAGAGAGAAGAAGTGAGAATGTAAAATTTCAAGTATAAACATGACTTCTGAGAAAATTTTCTGTCTGGACAGAAAAGTGGTCATGTGGTCAATCTGATTTTCTTTTGTTTTGTTATCTTTGATGGTTTGTACTTACTGTGCCCTGTTCATTATAGCTTACCTATTCAAAGCGCAAGAAGTTATGCTCATATGTTTCCTTGCAAAATCTTTACTGTTTTACCATTGAAAATCAGATATAAAATCCATCTGGAATTAAATTTGTGTATAGAAGGTAAATTTGTGTTTAGAGATTCTTTCGTTGTTTCCACATATATATATGACTGACTCAGCATTGGTCATTTAAGAGTCTCTTTTCACCAATGCTCTGCAACATTGCCATAAATCAAGTGTTCATTTATGTGTGGCTCCAGTTTTGGCCATTTTGTTTTTTTGTTGTTGTTCAGAGGATGTATTTTCCCATTTTTGCCTTAAGACCACACTGTATTAATTTACAAGGCTTTAAAAGAAGTCTCAATAATCAGTATAGAAAGTAGTCTCACCTTTTTCAACTTCAGAAATGTCTTTGCAGTTGCCCTGCTGTATCTTCATATAAATGCTCAATTTAATAAATAGCATTCATGGTTAAGATTCTCCCCACACCAATTCTTAACAGATAAATAGTTTTTAAATGTTCACATAATTCACTACATGTATTTGGTAGTTAAAAACTTCAAAGGAACAGCAGCAATGTCAATTATATACACGTCTGTCCTTCTTTCTCTCTCTCTGTACACACACACACACACATCAAATTACACAATCTAAAGCTTATGTTAAAGTGTTTGATTTGCTTACATATATTCTTACATTACTTCTGATAAATACACAGATAAAATCTGATGGAAGTTAATGAAATTCTTTATTAGAACAATAAACATATGTATAAAATAATACATGCAAAATTTGAGGATTTGAGGACTTACCTGAAACCCATCTAAGAACCTCTGTTTAAAAAAACCTGTTTGAGATTTATTTTTATGTGCTTTATTTCCCTTAAGAACTTTCTTTTATTAAATACATAGTTTTATCAACTAAGAATGAAAGAGAAAATTGTGATTAATTCTTAGCTTGTATTTCTAGCTATCAACATCACATTTCAAATAACATGTAACTGCTGACTTGATTATAGGAAGGCTGCCAGGTAGTTTTGATAAATGTACAACAATAGAAAAAACATATTGTAAGATATTATAGACAAACTGTTGTATGTCAGTCATTCCATTGGAATTGAAGGGTCACTAGCTGGAATGTTCAAGGAAGCTTCTCATCTTTGACAGCTTATATTGAAGATTCCCTGAATCATGATCCTGTCAAGCTGTTGGTCATCATATTAGGTGTCAACAGTCCAGTAAAATCAAAATTATTTGTACTATTATTTTGAAGTCATGGATACAATTACTTTTCTTATGCCTTTCTGTTAACTTTTAAAAGCTCTTAACACAGACATTTTTACTGTTAGTGTTGTATAAATGAAGACAAATTTTGTATAAATGAAGACAATATTTTTCTTTGTTATAAGTTCTATCATTTCGTTGCTTCTTTTAACTTTTAAGATCCGAATGAAATTTATATCTAAGCTCAAAAACATCAAACAAGCAAAAAAAAAAAAAAAAAAAAAGCAAACAAACAAGAAGTATTTTCCACAATCTGAAGTAAAACTTAATATAGTGCCTTAATGGTCTATCTCCAATTTTTCCCTTAGAGGCTGCAACTGTTAAAAGTTGATGTAAATCCTTCCAGACTCTACATACATAAACTTATGCGTAAAATTGTATTGTTCTGAAAGTGCTGAAATTTAACAGTGTTCACTTATATTGGAAAACATTACACCACAATTCTAGAGTAATGTGCCTGCTTATATGTTATATGTGTATGTGTAGATACATAGTTTATTTGTATGATAATGCTTTTTCAGAGAAGGATTTTCAGTGTGATTTTTTCTTGTGATCAATGCATCTTGAATTTTATTGAAAGTCTCTTCAACATTACAAATATCAATTTTAATTTTTAAAACCATTAATACATTAAATGACATTAATTGGATTTCAAATATTAATATATCCTTTAATTCTTACAATAAACCATAATTGGTCAAAATATATTATTATTTTAATATACTGCTAAACTTTGCTAGAATTTTCTAGACCTTTTCAGCTTCAATATTCAAAAAAAGATTTTTATGTCATTTGCCTTTGTGTACTTCATCAGATCTTGGTATCTGTGCTGTTCAGACTTAATATAAAGGATTTATGTCTGTATGGTTTGTATCAATTTAAACAGCTGTCAAAGACTGCATCCTGTATGTTTGATAGGATTTATATAGGGAACTAGATGGGCAGCTGGTTTTGGAAGTGTCAACACTTTGATGATTTTTATTTTTACTGTCATAGTAATTGAATACTGTGAGTTTCCTGGCTTCCTTGGGATCAAGGTGTTATGTTTTGTATTTTGTAAAATCTTCAAATTCATAAGCGTATTACATGTACTTCTTTGACCTATATACTTATAATATTGTGGCTTATACCTTATTTATTTATTTTAATTCAGTTAACCCTCTGCATATGTATTTAGTTTTTAAAGAAACAAATATCTACTTTTAGTTATAATTTAATAATTCCATTTTTATAAATCATTTGTTTACATGTATACTTATGCTTTATCCCAGGATTATTCTGTTGCTTTATTTTTCAGAGTTTTAAATTAAGTAATGTTTTGTCTTTTTATCTGGATTTATATATATAATATGAATATAAATATAAAAACTTATAAGACTATATTTATTCTTAGGATATAAAAAAAATCCATATTGAACTAAACATATATATTAGGGATTTTTTTATGTTCATAAAAAATAAACATAAACATAAATGTATGTTTATAAATATATATGTTTATAAATATAAACATAAAAATAAATAAATATAAATATAAATGTATATATACAGATATATTCTACATATATTTATCTATCTCTCTATATATGTATATGTATATATACACGTATATATGTATATGTATATATACACGTATATATGTATATGTATATATACACGTATATGTATATGTACACATATATGTATATGTATATACACATATAAGTATATGTACATGTACACATATATGTATATGTACACATATATGTATATGTACATGTACACACATATGCATATGTACACATATATGTATATGTACATGTACACACATATGCATATGTACATGTACACATATGTGCACACACATGCATACGTATGTGCACACATATATGTACTTATACACATATGTATATGCACACACATATGTATATGTGCATATACACATATGTACATATACACACATGTATTTGTACACACACATGTATATGTACACATACACATATGTGTTTATGCACACATATGTATATGTGCATATACACATATGTGTTTATGCACACATACGTATATGTATATGTATACGTATACATATATGTATATGTATATGTACACATATATGTGTATATATACACATATGTGTGTATATACACATCTATATGTATATATACACATATGTGTATATACACATCTATATGTATACGTGTATATATACACATATATATGTTATTTTTTCTTTATTACCTATGCAGACAACCTGTAAGATGCACATGCAATATTTTTATTATTAGTATTTCTTTTACTCACTGCTAATGTTAATTTTCCTTTTCTTCTTTTCATTTTTCTTCCTCTTCCTCTTCCTCTTCCTCCTTCTCCTCATGCTCTTCTTCTCCTTCTTCTTATTTCTTCCTCCTTCTCCTTTATTTTGGCCCTCAGATGCAGCAATGAGCTAATTGAACCTTAGTGCTCATATATTACTATCATCATTCTCTTCAATTTCTCCTGTTTTATTGATACATTTATTTATTCATTAATTGACTTATTCTCATTTTTCTTTACTTCTCTTGTTCTTTCTTACTGTAGAAGATGTCTATTAATGTTTCTAATGCATATTCTTAAATATGTACTCATATGTACCTTTGCCAAAAGTAGTTTGTACTGAACTTTTCCTGATTTTTGCCACTGAAGCCTATATGGCTTCTAATTCACTCTAACCACATCTGATGTTTTTTACAAGTCCCATTGGTAGAGATAATACTAAGAGAGGAGGCAGGTAGGGGCTGGTTAGGCAAATAGAGAGGGAGGGATTTGGGAGAGGGACAACGCCTATAAGACTGCACCTGCACCACCCCTGTTATGTAGCTAGCAGGGTGAAATGTGGTTAAAAACTTCCTCTTATACCCAGATGCTTTCTCAGAAGGGAATTTCAGGCCAAAGGCATCCTAAAATGACCCTGAAATTATAATACCATTAGCATTGTGGTTTTAGTGCTCCCATGCGTTTTGCTTAGGCAATCAGGGGTAATAACCAAGATGGAGTCACTATGGCCAACCCCAGGCACGTGCAGATGCAATACCCTGGGGGGAATTTCATCCCTCCCATTAAGGCAGAATCCATGGAAGACTTCCTTGTTTCTGCCACATTAAAGTCTCAGAACACAGCACCTTTTTTGACAACATTTTTGGGTCCTCTCTTGCTACTGAGAGTTTTCTCTCACTTAGTAAATCCTTCTCTGCCTTACTCGCTCTCTGGTTTCTGGGCATCTTATTATTCTTTGTCATGGGACAATAACTTGTACGTTGCTAAATTAAGAAGTAAGGAGACTGGAACAATACTTTATTATTTATAGCTGCTATATTTATTGTCTGATGAGCTAGTTTATCTGAACACATACAGAAAGACAAATAATCATGTAATGTTTCATAATTGAACATATAAACATTACAAATATGTGCTATTATATATACTTTATCACCAAGTATCTTCAGAGCTTTTAATATGAGAATGCACGTTGTGATTATTCAAAAATATAGTATACAGTATGGCAGAAACCTATTCGAACATACAACTTTTATCTGAGAAGCATCAAGTAAGATTTAAATTATATAAAACACTATTTTAAAAATCATTTTTCTCAATCCTAATGTTGTGCTTTATTGCATTTTCTTTTCTTGTTTATCTGGGTAAATACTAGATTTGTTTTTCTGAGGAACTAATTATTGTATCAATGATCTCAACCACATAAAAGTACTTTCTTCAAAGTTCCTTTTCAACAATCTCAAATTATTTCTTTTTCTTTAATTATTTAAATTAGTATGTTCAAGTATCCCACCACGAATTTTCCTGCTTGATAATTAATCTGTATAAAAATGCTTGCCTCCATGCATTGATGTTCTCTTTGACATTATGATTTTTGTTCATGCTGCTTTCTGATGGGAAATTGTTTCTTCATCTTCATTAATTTATTAATTCTTGGTTTCAGCATAGATGTTCCTTATTTTCTAAGTCCTTTCTTGAATATTTGAGGATGCGTGGTATTCTCTTTAATGATCTTCTATGTTAGTCACTACTGAGACATTTATCAATTGTATCATCAATAGTATTAATGTCTATATTTACCCTAGAAGATTAAAATTTAACACATTTCTTTGAAAACCATTATACTTCCAAGATGAGCATTTTAGCTCCCAATAAACATTATTGGATGAACGTCTGAATAAGTGTATAAACTACATATAAAAAATATGCATTCTTGTCTAATAACCAGTAAAGCCATTTTCATTCTTACATAAAGGTAACTATTATATCAAGATAATTTAATACTCCTACTTGAGATAGGAATATTATATTTATGAACCATACATAGCATGTTTTTTTTCTATTTTATTCAAATGAAATTATATCCTATTATTCTGCTACTTGCTTTTTTACTCAACATTATGTTTTTGAGACTTACTCATATGAAAAATATGACTGTTATTAAAACGATTGTATTATACATATTTTACTATTGCAACACAATTGGTGTATCTATTTTATAACATTTGTTTGAATTTTCTTATATACAACGAAGACACAAAAATTGTGTATGCATATATATGCATAGTATTTGTATGAATAGAGATGCATATGGGCATAGATTAATTTGCTAAAATTCCCACTCTTAATCACGGTTTGACTATTATTGTGTTCCATTTCTTCTTAATGTTCATTAATTTATAGTAGCATCAAAACAAGTAAATATACTAATGCTACAACATAAAATATTTTCTATTTAAGAGAAAAGAGACATAAGTATAAAGCCAAACAACTTCAGACAACAATTCTTTACTTTTAATCACAAACACAAAAAGGCCAACATCAATACTGCTTTTAAAAATATACTATCTAGAGGGGATTCTGGGAGGATAACAGAGTAGGAAATATCAGACATCTGTTCCTCCACCTAGAAAATAATTGCATTGGCAGAAATTGTTTAATGTGACAATTTTGGAATTCTGGGGCTTACAACTTCTAGGGGAAGGCTTATATGATAAATCAAAGTTAGCTTTGGTCAGTTTATATCTTAGCACATTAACAGGTATACATTCACCACCCCTAAGGCAGACAGCTGTACAAGTGTTCTTCAAATCAAAGGAATGCAGCTTGTGGGAGCCAGGGTGGGCCAAAAGGCACTGTCTTCCCAAAATCAGGGATTTGTATCCTGATCACTGATTGTTGCTTCCAATCACAAAGTTGTGGACAGAAAGGCAAATGGCTATTGTGGTGGTATCTCCCCTCATTATTGTAAAACCTTCTCCCTCCAGCAGAAGTGACTTCCAGAATATTGGAAGAGCTGGTGCCATAACTTCTCCATTAGTTTTCTCCTCCACCCACCCTTTTTGGGATCCTGATATTAAAGCCTAGGACATTTAAAAAACAAATGTATACACAGTGAAAATTAGAATGTTACTGAATATGACTAGGGAAAAGCTTAAAAATCTTAAAACCTTTTCATGAAAAGACCTGAAAAATCAAATCCTTGGAAAGGAAGATAATCTTATTTCCAGAGTTAGCACATTATTAAGTGTCCAGTTTTCAACAAAAAATTACGAGCCATACAAAAAAACAGGGAAGCATGGCCCATTTCAAGAAAAAGAAATAGATAAGCAGAAAGTGTCCTAAAAAAGATATGATGATGAGTCTACAACACAGACTTTAAAACAACTGCCTTAATGATGCTTTCAAAACTAAAGATATGGAAAGGATAAAATAAACATTGCATAAACCAAATACAAATATCAATAAAGAGAAAAGCTAAAATGGAACACCAACAAAAAGAAATTTTGGAGCTGAAAAGGAGAATAACTTAAATAAAAAAATCAATACAGACACTAAAAGCAGATTTGAGTAGGCAGAAGAATATATCAGTGAAGTTGAAGTGGAAATTAGCATGTCTGAGGAACATAAAATTTTAAAAGAATTGAAGAAAAGTGAATAGAGCCTAAGAGACCTGTGTGACACCATCAAACAGACCAACTTATGGCTTGTGATAGGTCTAGAAGAAGGATAGAGATAAGGGAGCATACAGAATATTTGAAGAAAGAATTGCTTAAAACTTCCCCAATTTGACGAAATACATGAATGTAAACACCAAAAAAGCTCAACCAACTCCAAGTAAGATGAAGTCAAAGAGACCTACACCTAGATACACTATAAGCAAACTTTCAAAAGCCTAGCACGAAGAAAGAACATTGACTACAAAAAGCAACATGCAACTTATCATATACAAGCAGTTTTTAATAAGATCAGGAGATTTCTTAGAAAATTTGGAGTCCACAAGTAGTGGTCTGACAGAGCAAAAGTGGTAAAATAGAAACCTGGCAAACAATGAATCTATACCCAGTAAAATTATCCTTCAAAAGTGATAGAGAAATTAAGACATTCACAGATAAATAAAAGATGAGGGAGTTTGTTATCACTAGACCTGACCTACAAAAAAATGCTCAGGGAGCTCTGTAGGGTGAAATAAAAGGACATTATACAGTAACTGGAAGCTGCATAAAGAAATAAAGATTTCAATATAGGTAAACATATGGAAAAGTATAAAAACTAGTATTATTATAAAAATAACCTGCATCTCCATTTTTGTTCTACATGACTTATGAGAAAAATGGATGTACAAATAAAACAATTATTCTTATAAAATCTACTGTAATTCTTATTTTAGTTTATAACTCTACATTGGGTTTTCTACATAATTTAAAAGACTAATGCATTTAAAAGATTTATTAGTTTATGTTTTTGAACAAAAATATATAAAATGAATTTTCTCATATTAACAATTTTACAGGGTGAAGATGGAGCTATTAAAGAATAGGAAATTTTGCATGTTATTGAAGTTGTTATGAATTCAAATTATAGTATTATAACTTGAGGATGTTCAGTTTGAACTTCATGATAACTACAAATACAATAGTTGTAGGATACACACAAAAGGAAATAAGAAAATTGAATGGCTTTAGTACAAAAAACATATATAAAAAGAAGACCATAATGCAGCAATACAGGAACTGAGGGACAAAAAAAAAGCTATAAGGAATCTCAAAAACAAATAGCAAAATGACAGAAGTAAGTCTCCTTTTATCTGGAATCATTTTAAACGTAAATGAATTAAACTCTTTAATCAAAAGACAAAAAAAGGTCAAATTATGTGCTGTTTATAGGAAATTCACATTAGATATAAACTTGTAAATAGATTGCAAGTTAAAAGGTTGGTAAAAAATATTTCATGGAAATAGTTACCAAAAGAGAACAGATGTGGCTATACTAATGTCTGAAAAAAAGTAGACTTTAAATCAATAAAGCTTACAAAAGACAATGTAACATATTATAATTAATGTATTATTATATATTAATTAAATTGTAATATAGCAGTAACTATAATAATTATAAACATTGACATAATAAGAAACCATCAAAATATATGAAGCAAAAACTGATAGAATTAAAGAGAGAAATAGACACTTACACTTACACAGTAATAGTTGTAGATTTCAATACCCCACCCTCCTTACTGGATAGGACAACCAGACTGCAGATAAGTAAGGAAATAGAGGACTGAAACCACATAATCAACCAACTAGATCTATGAGGCATTTATAAAACACTGTACCCAACATCACAACATACACATTCTCATCAAGTGCACATGGATATTTCAGAGGATTGAGCATGTATTAGGTCTTAATAAATTAAACATAATAAATTAAACTTAATAAAATAAACATAGTAGGTCAATAAATTTAAAAAAACAGAACATTCACAAAATGAGTCAGAGAAGAAACATTCACAAAATGAGTCAGAGAAGAAAGCACAAGGGGAAATTAGATACACATCAAGATAAATAAAAATGAAAACACAACATATCAAAACATATGAGATATAGCCAAAGCAGTGCTAAGGGAAAAATTTTTAGCTATAAATCCTTACACAAAACATACAAACAGATAAACAAGAAAGATCTCAAATCAACAACCCAACTTTACAATTTAAGGAACTACAAAAAATATAAATGACTAAACACAAAGGTAGAAGGAAGGATATAATAAAGATGGGGAGAGATATAAATTATAAAATGAAGATAAAAATAGAGAAAAAACAATGAAACAAAAAGTTATTTATTTGGAAAGATCAACAAAATTGACAAACTTTTAGATACATGAACAAACAAAGGCAGGACTCAAATTACTAAAATTATAAGCGAATGTAAGTACTTTATTCCCAGTTTTCCAAATAACAAATTATAAGAAAGAACAATAAATCCAGCAAACTGGATAGCTTAGGTGAAATGCACATATCCCTAAAACACAAAATCTACAAAGATTAAATCATCAAGAAATAGAAAATTTAAATAGATGTATAAATAGTAAAAAGATTGAATCAGTAATTTTAACTCTCCTGTCAAAGAAAAGCCATGGTTCTGATGGCTTAATTGATGAAGTTTACCAATTACTTAAAGAACTAACTCAAATCATTCTTATACTTTTCTAAAAAATTAAAAAAGAACAAACACTTTTTTACTCATTTTGTGAGGTCAACATTTTTCTGAAAGCAAAGCCAGATAAGGAATATATAGATATCTCAACAACAGCAAATGTTTAATATCCTCTACGGTCATTGATGTAAAATCCTAAACAAAATACTACCAAACCAAAATCAGTCATATATTAAGGGATTATACACCCTGACCAAGCGGAACTTATCTATGGAATATAAGAATGTTTCAACACAGGAAAATCAGTCAATATAATGCACCATATAATGAAGGGGAAATAAACACACCTGAGTCTCTTAATTGACCCAGGAAAGGCATTGGCAAAATGTAGCATTCTCTCATACAAAAAATAAAAGCAGTCAACAAATTAGGAATAGAAGGAAACTACCTCAACTTGATAAGATGAATATATGAAAAACCTATCATAAACATCATATTCAATGATGAAGATTAAAAAGTTTTCCTCTAAGATTAGGGAAAAAGCAAGGATGTTTGCTGTCTGATAAAACATTTCTATTCAACATAGTACTAGAAATTCTGACAGAAAAACCAGACGAGGAAAATAAATAAAATACATCTAACTTGGAAATGAAGAAATAAAATGATCTCTTTTCAGAAATAATAAATCTTGTATATTAAAAAAAACTAAAGTTTCTGGAAAAAATTATTTGAACTAACAAATGCTACAAAGTAGCAGAAAACAAAGTCAGCATGCAAAAAATCAGTTGCATCTCTATACAATAACAAGAAAAAATCTAAAATAACATTATGAAAACAATTACATTTATAATTGCATAAAAAATAATAAAATACTTAGGAATTAACTTAAATCAAGATGTGAAAGATTTGTACTGTAAAACTATAAAATATTGTTAAAATATTGTTAAAACAGATTTTAAAAATTTTAATTAAATGAAAACTTACCCCATGCTTAAAGAATAAAAAGACAAAATTATTAAGATTTCAATACTACCCAAAGCAATGTATAGATTCAATACAATCTCCACCAAAACTTCAATGATAATTTTTGAAGAAATAAAAACCCGTCTTAAGTTTACATGGAATCTTACAGGACCCTCAGTAGTCAAAACAATCTTAAAAGGGAAAAACAAAACAGGTCAAAACAGTGTGGTTCTGGCATAAAAACAGACATAGAAAGTAATGGAATAAGATGGAAAGCCACAAAATACCTGCATATATGTTAAAATGATTTTTGGCAAGGGTTAGAAGATTATTCAATGGGGAAAGGACAGTTTTTCAACAAATGGTATTGGGAAAACTGGATATCCACCAATTAAGAAGAAAATTGGATCCTTATCTAACACTATATTCAAAAATTAACTCAAAATGGATGAAAGACCTAAATGTAAAACCTAGCAGTATAAGACTTTTAGTAAAAAACATAGGACAAAAACTTCATGGTGGATTAATTATTTCTTTGATATGATACCAAGTTATAGGTGACAAAAGAAAAAAAAGACAAATTGGATTTAATGATTAACAAAATTTGTGCATCAAAAGACACTATCAAGAGAGTAAGAAAACAACCCACAGAAGAAAATATTTGCAAATTGTATCTGTGATATGGGATTAATAATCAAAATACAGAGAGGATTCCTAACACTTGGCAACAAAAAACAAACAACGCAATTTACAAATGAGCAAAGGACTATGTCTTAGTCCATTCAAGATGCTATAACGGGTTGAGCACAGTGGTTCATGTCTGTAATCGCAGCACTTTGGGAGGCTGAGGTTGATGGATCACCTGAGCCCAGGAGTTCAAGACCAACCTGGACAACATGGCAAAACCCCATCTCTACCAAAAATACAAAAATTAGCTGGGCGTGGTGGTGCATGCCTGTAATCCCAGCTGCTCCGGAGGCTGAAGCACAAGAATCTTTGAACCTGGGAGGTGGAGTTTGCAGTGAGCCAAGATTGTGCCACTGGATTCCACAGCAGATTTTGTTTCAAAAAACAAACAAAAGAAGATGCTATAACAAAAACACCATAAACTTGGTGGATTATAAACAGTAAACACTTATTTCTCACAGATATGAAGGTTAGAAAGTCCCAGATCAAAGCACCAGCAGATTTGGAGTCTGTTAACCCATTCTTCGTCGATAGTGCCTTCTTGCTGCATCCTTACATAGTGGAAAGGGCAAGGGCAGCATTCTGGGACATCTATTATTAGGGCATTAATCCCATTCACAAGGGCTTTGCCTTCATGATCTAATCATACCCCAAAGGCCTCACCCCTTAATACCATCACCTTGGGGGCTGCTTTTCAACGTATGTATTTGGGAAGGACACAAACATTCCGAACGTAACAGAACTGAATATATATTGACCCCTAAAAAAAAGTTCAGCATCGCTAGTGATGAGGAAAATGCAAATCAAAACTACAGGGAGATACCACTTCACAGTCATTAGGATAGCTACTATTAAAACAACAACAACAACAGAAAATAACACGTGTTGGCAAGGATGTGAAATAATTGGAAACTTTGTGTCCTGTTGGTAGGAATGTACAATGGTACCGCTGCTGTGGAAAACAAGTACGGCGGTTTCTCAAAAAAATAAAAATAGAATTACTGTATGACACAGGAATTTCACTTCTGGGTCTATAACCAAAATAATTGAAAAAAGAGCTCAAAGAGTTACAAGTGTATATGTGTTTTTAGCAGCATTATCCACATTAACTAAAATGTGTAAATAAGCTAAGCATCCACTGATGGATAATGAAGAAGCAAAATGTGGTATATAAATATAGCAGAATATTAGATAATCTTTAAAAGGAATGAAATTCTGACATGTGCCACAATACGAATACATTTTGAGGACATTAGCTAAGGAAAACAAGCCAGTCAAACAAAAAAGTACTGTATGATTTCACTTACATGAGGTACTTGGTGTAGTCAAAATAATAGAGACAGAAAGTAGAATGGTGGATGCCAGGGCTTGGGGGCCGGGGGGAATGAGAAGGTGTTGTTTATTGTGCATAGAGTTTCAGTTTGACAAGATAAAAAGTGTTATGGAGATAGATGATGTTAATGGCTGCGTATTATGAACGTGTTGGTACAATTGATCTGTATGCTTAACGTTGGTTAAGATGGTAAATTACATGTGTATTTTATCACAATAAAACAAATTGGTAAATAATTAAATATCACCTAATTCTTTTTTCAAATGAGACTAAAAACAATGGTACTTAAGTTGAAATGAGCACAGCTAGCACCCATATTTTGATTTGGTAATGTCATTCTCAATGAAAAATCCAAGGCTTCTCAGAAAAAAATGGCGGAGTAGATCTGGAGCAGGAAAAGTATGAAGCAACTTTGGAGCACCTTGTGCCAAAAGTAAAGTGTTTAGCATAATGAATGAAGGTGAAACAAATGGACATAGGCTCTTGGCCCTAGCATGTCAAATGTAATGATGTTTACGTTGACTCAATAAAATTTACAAATTCATTGCATTATTCAAATTAAGAGGTTACAGTTTTATTAGTCATTAGCTGACTATATACCAATTCTATAATCTGAAATTTGATCCAATTTTTTTGGTTCAATGGAGATTAAACAAAATAGTTGCAATAGCAAGGCGCAACGTGGGAAGTAACACTCCAAATATGCACAGTGGTATGAGACAATAGGCATATTTATATCCTACTACTGCAGCTGTACATATGATTAGTTATCCAATGCCAATAGGAAATCCACAACGAAATTTAGAAGTATATGTAAATGTTTATTTTTCATACCTGCTGTTTACATTGTGTGTTATCAGACAAGTTAGGTGTTTAAGAAATGTGGACAATGCCAAAATGACTGCAATACAGAAATATTCTGCTACACTTTCCCACAATTTAAGTTGTATATTTCTTTGCATTACAGAAACAATTTTTAGGAGTTTGTTTTGTAGTAGAGCATGGAAGTAGTTTTTTAAAGTGAATGTAGAGTTACCTAAAATAGAATAAATGAAAGCAATTCACTGCATTTATATGAAAAATGTAGACTATTATTAAGAAAAACACTCAAAGTATATATTATTACAATTTATAAGAAATTTTTGTCATCCCAGTTGATGAGGAGAATGTCTATTTTATAGAAGAATCTCACATAATGAATGTATAAGGAGGAAGAAAATTAATAGATCATCACTTTATAATCTTCAATAGATATATATCCTGTCAAGGGGAACCAATGAAAGCTAAAAATATTAGATATAACATCATGGAAAACAGGATATTTTCATAGTGTCATATTATCACCAAGTAGATGAGTTGCAAATTGCATATGAGATCAAATAGCATCAATAATTTTGGACAAATCTCACTTATGTGTGTTAACATGAGATTCAATAAGAAAACATAATATCACTTAATATTATTGGAAAACATACTTGAATTTGATTATCTTTAACTATAATTCTCAGTCTACAGAAAGTTAAATAGATAAAACATTTTTTAGAGTCTATGTCAAGTTTCATATAAAAGTCAATGTATACTTAAAAAGATGGGAAATAGTGATGTTTCTAGATTAAAAGTGTTAAAAAGCTATAAGATCTAAAAACAACATGAGAGACTTAATTGGATGTTTGATATTTTACAAAAGATATATGACATATTTTGAGAACAATTTAGGGAATTTAAAAAATAATTAAGATGTTACTTAGTGGGATTTCTTATTTCTTTTTTTAGGTTTGATGAAAGTATTGCATTTGTGTAGGAGAAATTAAATGTGCTTATGAAATGCATGCTAAAGTATTTAGGAGTGAAGAGCAATTTTGTGTGTAATTTTTTCCACAAATACTTCAAAAATATGTGCACTTACACACACACAAATATACACTAAAGCACACGTATAGATCTGTGTGTTTATATATGTACATGTATTATGTATACATGTGTGAATACACACACAAGCATGACAAATTATTAATAACTGTTGAATTTATGTGATTGCTATGTGAGTGACTTTCTACATTGGCTACTTGAATATTTATAATATAAACATCGAAAAAATTATTTAATTTGTGCTAACGTTATAATCTGACTTTTTAAAGAGAAAACTTGCCTTTGTTAGCATTAGATATTACATTTCATTATATATTGCAGATTTGGTTTTGAGTTAACTTTTTGGGTGATTGGGAGATTTTTGTTGTTGTTGTTTCTTTTTGCTTTGTTACTTGAGCTGTTCTTTTATGTATCTCTCTGTCTTTTTCAGAGGTGTATCATTTTTCATTGGCTCTGCCTGGTTCTGATCTTCTCTCCTGGGCCAGAGGTTGTAATCACAGGCTGTTGCTTCTTCTTTGAAGTGATACTTGTGCTAGAAATTCATCCATGACTCTAGTGGGAGAACTGGATTTGCTTCTGCTTGCAAAGCTGCTTGTCTTCCACCATCCTTAGGTTCACAAGTTGCTCTAAAGCCATTGCATCAGGCCTAGTGTGACGAGCCTCAATTTTTTAGCATGCTTTTAAGATAGAGGAACCGCACATCAGCTGCTGGCATTAAACTTTGGAAGTGGGTCAAGTTTCTTCTCTCATATTAAGTACTTTCCATCTGATAATCAGAGAACTGAGTTCCATCATGCTACTGTCTTTATGATTATCTAGACCTCAACAAACCCATAGAATTTTTTTCTCACAGCTTTCTTTTTGGTTTCTTATTAGATAATAAAGATGTTTATTTTGTTTTGAGTCTTGTGTTGTTGCTTGTACATTTATATATTTATATATTTCTGTGTGCTTGCTTTATTAAGTAGTCATTCAAAACTAGCATTGTTGTCACATGATAGGTTATTAGAATTAAAGACTCTTAGGCCTCAACCCAGGGCTACTGGATTAGAATTTGCATTTTAACATGTTTCCTAAGTTATTCAACTGCCTATTAATTTTTTTTTTCTTTGAGACGGAGTTTTGCTCTTGTTGCTCAGCTGGAGTACAGTAGTTCAATCTCGGCTCACTGCAACTTCCACCTCCCAGGTTCAAGCAATTCTCCTGCTCAGCCTCCCAAGTAGCTGGGAATACAGGTGCCCATCAGGACACCCAGCTAATTTTTTGTATTTTTAGTAGAGGTGGGTTTCACCATGTTGTCCAGACTGGTCTTGAACTCCTGACTTCAGGTGATCCACCTGCCTTAGCCTGCCAAAGTACTGGGATTACAGGGGTGAGCCACCGTGCCAGGCCGCATATTAATTTTTAAGAAGTACCAGTTTGGAGCCGAAGGATGTACTGAAGTGGAATTTCACTATATCCTCCTGACCAAAAATATGGAAACATATCATAGAGGAGACAAAGATTAGTAAATATTCTGAGTAGCCAGAACAGATTTTATTCTGCAACACATAATTTTGATTGTTACAGTTCTCGAGATACAAAGAGATGATACTAAAACTTGAAATACAAATATCTATTCTTTTCTTGAATCTAGTTTTAAATGCTACAGAGAATAGCTGTAAAACTACTTAGCATTGTTGTTTTTGTTTAATTATTTTCCTTACGATATTTCTCTTTTTTTCCTTGGCATTGCAGTTTTCTATTCTTGTGATTTTTATCTACATTAAAGTGAACATTTTCAACCTATTGGTTTGCATATTTTTAAGCATACAAATATATTTATTTCATTAATTATAGTTTTTATGTTTGTTCCAAATATATCATTTAGGAATTCAAATGTCTTTTGTGTTGTTATGTTTCTCGAGATGAAGTATATTATAAATTAAGCATATTATAGCAGCTGCAAATTCTTCTATGAATTTTTTTTTTAAAAGTCAACCAGGACATACATATTCTCTCTCTAGATGTTGGCTAATTAATATATGGATTAGTTGAAGAATTGTGCCATACAGTCAATTTATTTTTGAGAGAAAATTATGTACTGCAGATGATAGACAAGGCAAAGTTTATTCAACTATATTTGAGTGTACAGGCTCTAGATTGTAACACATAGATATGATGCAACATTAGGTAAATGGATTGAAATGAAAACTGGCTGGAAGGGGCATATTGTCAAAGATCTGGTCAAGGGCAACCTTGCACAGAAATTGAAACAGTGTTGTGATGAGGAAGCGGAGCTTGTTGTGCATGCATTCATTTATGCCTGTGATTGTCAAATAATTACTCAGCATCACTCTAGGCTAGGCAATGTTGTAGGTGTTGTGGATACAGCAGTGAATAAAATATTGAACAGTCTTTACACTTAAGAAGACTATATTTTAGTAGACATAAAGAATTAAGGAGACAAATATGTCCTTTCTAAAGGGAAGGTAAATGCTATGGAGAATAAAACATGAAAGAGGAATAGAGAGGAATACTGTAAATAAATGGTCAAAGAAGTCATCACTGATAAAGTGACATTTAGGTGACCTGTAGAAAGTACTAGAGTGGGGTGTTCAGATATGGAGAGCTGCATGGGAAAGGTTGTTCCAGGCACATAGAATTGCAAGTCAAAGATGTTAAAGGAGGATAGTCTTGCCATTTGTAGAGACAGTAAAGACTCCATGGTAGACGTGAATAGTTAGAGGTGAAATATTGGGCTGTCAAATGATGTTAAGGCTTTTAGACCACTTTAAGATTATTGGGTTTTACTATAGGTAAAGTAGAAATCCATTTGAAGATTTTGATCAAAGTAACATAATATTGCTAACATTTTAAAAGATTCCACTTTGGCTGATGTGTTCAGAGTAAAGTTTAGGTAAACAAGAGTGGTAGTAAAGAGACTATTTCAGAGTCAACTGAAGTACTGCAGGGAAGAGATTATCATGGCTTTGAGAGGAGTAAAAGCAGAGAATTGCTAATTCGGAAGAGAGAGAGAATAACAGCTTCCTAAATATATCCACATTCTGTTCCTAAGAATCTGTGAATATGCTACCTTACATGACACAGAGACTCTAAGGAATTTGAGATGGAGAGATTACACTGGATTATACGGGTATGCCCAATGTCATAACAATGGCAATCACAATGTAATCACCATTTAATCACAAAGTGAATAAGGAAGACAGGGAAGAGAGTCAGAGGAGACACTACCACAGAAAGATGACACCAAGATATACATCAATGTTGGCTTTAAAGATGGTGACAGAACACCACTGGAATATGGATGAGGCAGGTAGTTGGATTTATCTGCTCTTTTTCAATTACTAGGCACTATATCTATATTAAGAAGAATAGTATTTTGCTGCTATAGAAACATAAATATATTTTCCAGCTTGACATCTCTTTTAATATTGCTTATGGTATTTTCTTCCACGAAGCAGTTTTTATTTGTATATATTAAAATTTATCATTTTAGGCTTCTAGGTGCCAACTATTTTCATAGTTTGAGAGAAGTTTTGTTCTTTCACTTCACAAGACAGTTTGTTCATATTTCCTTCTAGTACTTTAATGATATGATTCTTTTACAGTTTAATTTTCTTCTCTTTCACTTGGAATATAAAAAAGCAATATAATATGAAATTCAACCAAATCATAAGAAAAAGCCATAACAGTATAAAAGTATACATAATTGTAGTGTTCTGAGCCTATTATAGTCCTGATCTTACAGTGCAACTTGGTAAACTAAATCTGAAAGCATGGCATGCCCCTCTAAGAAAAGACAAGACTCAGGAGAAAGATGTGCTGTCATGCGGTGAGGTACGAGAAAAACGATGAAGCATAAATAGACACATTTTAGTAGAGACATGAAAACTATAGAAAATTGGCAAATACAAGTCTAGAAATAAAAATCCAAAATATCAGAGATGAAAAATATTTTGATAGGCCTAAAAAAGAACTGAAAACAAAAGCAACACAAAAGAGTCCATGAAAATAATAAGTCAATAGTAATTACCCAAACTAAAACACAGACATAGGAAAAAAAACACCAAATTATTAAATGTCTGTTGAACAATATCAAACAGTCTAGCATTGATGTATATTTGGACTTTAACAATAAAAAGAAAAAAACAGAATAGAATCCTATAAGCACTTTCAGAATCCTAAAAGCACTTTCTTTTTCCACACTGAAATGAGATTCTACCTTGTCATGTACATATCTCCAAAATGTATTTGCATTTGTCTTTGAGTTTTTTTATTTTCTTTCATTTATCTGTTCATGTTCAGTGTGACCAAGAATTTATAATATGTTTAATATATGATTTGAATGTCCCTTACCTATTTCTCTTTTTCTGCGTTGCTTTTCTTTACTATTGGTCTTGAAATTATTTCCTCATAACATAAGAATTAACTTAACTAGTTTTAGAAAATATGTAACATTGATATATGCATTGGAGTCATATTATTTTCATAAATTAGCTTAGGAAGACTTGATATATTTGACAGAAATTTGCTTTCCTGCAAATCCTTTATCTTCTCATTTTTGAGACTATTTCGGTATATTAGGTAATGTTTTAAAGTTTTCCTGTCTGTGGGTGTGCACAATGGGTGTGCACAATGTTTTTGTTAATTGGGGATAGTCCCACAAATATCTAGTGATCCTCTCCTGTATGTGCATATTAAGATTCAGATTATGAAATTCTGGTTCACTTTTTGGTGATTGTGTGGAAACCAGAAGTTTGGTTGGGAATCCTCAGAAGTCTGTCTTTTATTCTTGGCTCTTTCCATTCCCTGGAAAGAAACAGTTTAATGTCCTGTCACGTATATAATACTGACTGCCAACATTATGATTGTTGAGTAAAACAAAAAAAAATCCTGTATATCTAATGGTTAAATTCTAGACGTTCGTTTAAAATCTTCTGCACTAACTTTCATTCCATCCCTCAGTTGTTCATTCTGAGCCCAGAGACATTTACCTTCCACTTGAGTAGGAAGTGATCTGGGGCTTTAACTACTTTTTATAAGTGCTTTTAAACAGCCCTATTCTTTTCAGACCTATTCCATACCCACTGTTAGAGGTTCCTGAAGTCTTCAATTCTTATGCTTTGGTGGGCTTCTGCAAAATGAATACACCCTCGCTTCTCACATTCTTTCCATGCTTAGGTTTCCATCCTTCACCAACTTCCAGCTTTATCACTTCTCCTTTACTTACATATTATTCATTCCTTCTTACTCTCTATTGGTGTTTTAGAATGATTTCAGGAAATAAAGCTAAGTGTGTATCTTAAATGCATTGTTATTTAAGTGATTAAAATAATCATGCTTGCTAGAACACAGAAATTTTTAAACTTTGTGTTGAGTTTAAAAAATGCAGACATAAGTAGGTGCTAGCATATAGAAAGATGCATGTGAATTAAAAATGATGGCAACAAATGTACTTGTCATGGAAGCACATTTAACATAATTTATTAAATGCAATAAAGTGCATTTTTGTAAGACAATGAAGGAAAATGGTGGTTAGGTAAAGGGGAAAATATTACACTTGAAAAACATTGATAATTATGGTGTACCAAAGAAGAAAGAAATTAGAAAAAGCAGTGCATCTGTTTTTCTTACTTTTATGTAAACATAGCTGCCTAGTTATTATAAGAAAAGTATAATATTGGATATGGCAATAGTTTTAAATAAAACTGCATTTATATGTATTTATTACTTAGTACTTAAAATGTAGTAAATACAATACCACACTTAAAGTTATATATGGCGTATCTGTCCTTGCCTCTTTCAGTTAGGCCTTAGAAATCACTCAAAATATGATTTTATTTTCTCTATTTCTTCTCTCATGTTTTTAATCATTCTCAGGTGATAAAATTGTGCTTGACATTAACCTGCTTATTTACATAGTACAAATAAATATGGTAACACTTGGTACTAAAGTGCATGTTTATGAAAATATTTCCTTCAGTTATTATTCTTACATGATGGTCCATACACATCTCTAAATCTTATACTAATTAGGGTCTATACACTAAAGTCACAGAAATAATTTAGATAAACCTGAGACAATGCCTTTAAACTGCCCTATGAGGTCTTTTTGTTAAAATATTTTGCAGATGGTGTTCTGATTCAATTATATTTTGGGATATCCATATATTAACTGCTGATTTGTTTCCCAGAATATGACCCAATCAGTTTTCCAATTATTGGTTTATGTTTCTATGCCAGTTCTCAAACTTCTTTGTGTGTTTTATTTAATTGACATATAATTATACATATTTATGTGATATACAGTGACATTTTGATACATATAATGTGTAGCGGTCAGATCAATGTAATTATCATATCCATTATCTCAGACATTTATTATTTCTTTGTGTTGGGAATATTCAATATCGTTCTTATAGCTATTTGAAGCTATATGTTATTGTTCAATATAGCCACTATCCTTGTTACTGTAATGGTATCTCTGCCTGTCAGGAATATATGTCTTTATATTTTACATAAAAATATTTTTTACTTAAATCTTTATTTAGCCACATCAAATTCGAATTAACAAGTAGAAAGTAACAGATATTTCTCCAATTATATTACTTTAAGTCACCAAAAAGAAAGAAATGACAATCATGATTTCTCTGATATTTGTTGGTTGGAGGTATTGTTGACCTTATAGAAATGGAAATTGTTCTATTTTATTATTAAAGCATGTTTATCTCCTAGGATCATTAATCAATGTGATATAGGAGAGGACCTCATAAAAAATGAAGTACTATATAATTATATTTCCACAACATTTGATGTTCCTCTTCAAAATAAACTATTGAGTTCAGGGTCAAACATAAACAAACTCACAACTACAGGACATGTTTGGTGGATATCTTGCAAGTTTTGGAAATAAATTACAACTGATGTAATGACAAATGTCATCCATTTACATGATATAAGACTTGACTAGAACCTGGAGGTCATAAACAAGAGTTCTGTTAATTATAGACTTGTGAGATAATGGTTGCAATATTATGTTATTGATGTTTGTTTAGTGGAAATTATATGATAATTAATTTAATGTTTGATGTGGCAATGAACATTCCAATGGAAAGATATCATTCATTATCCAATCAATTTGAAGTTTTTTTTTCTTTTTCATTTAGACTGGAAAAAAATGTATGGCAATATAGGAAAAATATTCTTTATACTATGTACATAGAAAACATTACTTTTCTGTTTGCTTTTGTTTTTGTTTTTTTTTGGGGGATGATGTCTTGCTCACTCTGTCACCCAGGCTGGAGTGCAGTGGTGCAATCTCGGCTCACTGCAACCTCTGCCTCCCGGATTCAAAAGATTCTTCTGCCTCAGCCTCCCGAGTAGCTGAAACTACAGGCACACACCAACATGCCCGGCTAATTTTTGTATTTTTAGTAGAGATGGAGTCTCACCATGTTGACCAGGCTCGTCTTGAACTCCTGACCTCAAGTGATCCACTCCCCTCGGCCTATTATTTCTAGTAAAGGTAATAAGGATTACTTTTATGCGTTAGACCCAAAAGAGTATTTGTTCACAAAATAAATTTAAAATTTGTTTATTTACTCTCCATATAGTATACTGTTTGGAAAAGCATAGAGCAATTATTCTTTTAAGCATATTTTTATTATAGGGCATAATTTGGCAGTCACCAAGTTATATTTTTGAGAGAGAAATTATTTATTCTTGAACTACATAGTATATTCTCAGCAAGATGGTGGAATAAGAGGTATCTCAGCTCACATCTCTTCTGCACAAACAATGATCTGGCAGTCACTCTCCAACAAAAATGCCTTCTCAGTAGTAGCTCTGACATTTAGGTAGAATGCTGTGAAATACCAGAGAAGCCCAAGATAGAGGAGGACTGCTTTGAGTATGCAGGACTGTGCCTTGGTGGCAGTCTCACTGAATGTGGTCTTAGCCCCAGACTGAAAGCAGTTCTGTCTCCCTATGGACTTGGCTCCAACGGTACTTTGCCATGGTCCTGCAACTAGCCTTCTCTTCTAAGAGACCCAGAGAAAAACACATTCATCTGCATCCCCACTAACAGGACTTCTGACTCCATTTTTGGCTGTGGACTTTGCAGCAGCTATGTAATCCCGTTGTAGCCCTTCTCTACCACAGTCTAGTGGCTGTTCTACATACCCAGGGAGCCAGTGGGAGAGAAGCTCATCTGTATCCCTAGGAACAGGCTCACTGACTCCAGTCCTAACTGTGGATTCTGAAGGAGCTCTGTGACCCAGCTCCAGTCCTACTCTATAATGAGTTATAGAGTAAGCCCTGCCTATCCAGGGATCCAGCAACACCTGTCTGTGTCCGTGGTAGCAGGCTCACAGTCCTGGCTGTGGACCTTAAAGCATTCCTGAGACTTGGTTCTAGACTTGTTCTGCTGCTGTCTTGGGACAGCCCTGCCCACTCAGGGCCTGGTGGGAGACATACCTGTCCATGTCCTCAGTAACAGGTCCACCAACCTTGATCTGACTGCAGACCCTAAATCAGCCTGTGGCCCTGTTCAACTACAGTCTAGGCACAGACCAACCTGTCCAGGGACCCAACAGGAAACACTCCTGTCCATGTCCCTGATAACATGCCCATTAATCTCAAACTTGACTGTGGTAGGGCTGTTGAAGCAGCCCTTTGACCTGGCTTCAGTCCCACTCTATCATGGTCTATAGGTAATCCTCTCTGATCAGGGACTTGGTGAGATCTATGCCAATCAGGACCCTCAGTAACAGGCTTACCAACCTTGGATCCAACTGTGGACCCTGAAGCAGCCCTGTTACTCAGCCCCAACCACACCCCATCACAGTCCCAGAGGCAGTCCTGCTTGCTTGTCCTGGGACCTTTCCATTGATCCAACAAGAGCCTGCTTAGGGATCTGGCAGGAGCCTTCTGAACTGCATGCACCACTAGCAACAGGCCCATTCTGGGAGGACCTCATAGTAAACATGTAATAGGCCTAATAATCTGCCTCTAGTCTTACCTACCTGTGGTCCAAGAGGTAGTCCTGTCCACCTGTTGATTTGGCAGGAACCATACCTGACCATGTGCTTGATAACAGGCCTGCCAAATGTAAACTCAACTGCAGGCCCAACAACAGACCTGTGACTTACTCCAGCTCCATTCAACTGTGATCCTCTCGGCAGTCCCATTAGGCTGAGCATCTGGCTGGGGAAGGCCTTTACCTGCCAAGACCAGTCTGTAAAAACGGGAAGAGGTATTTACTCTACCAATGCACAAACAACAAAGCAAGGCTACACAGATCATGAAAAGTCATGGAAACATGACATCTCTAAAGGAATCTAATAAAGATCTATAACCAAACACCAAAAAGTGGAGATGTACACACTACCTGACATTGAATTAAAAACAGACATTTTAAGGAAGTACAGCAAGGCACAACAGAACACAAATAAATAAATTGATAAAATTAGGAAAACAATACATAAAACTAGAGGTTAAATGTAGAGATACAAATTATAAAAAAGAACTGAACAGATTCTGAAGATGAAAGATAAACAAATGAAATGAAAAATACAATAGGGAGCTTCTACAACAGATTAATTTAAGCAAAGAAAAGTGGTAAACTCAAAGATGGGTTTTTTGAAATTATCTAATCACAGAGGAAAAAGAAGAATAAAAAAGAGTGAAGAAAGTATGCAACTTATGGGACACAATAAAGCAAACCAATATATGCATTATGGAATTTTTACAAAGAGAAGAGACAGAAAGGGACAGAAAAACAAATATTGATGGAAAAAATTAAACACACAAATACATGGAAGGTAATCTGCTCATGGATTAAAAGAATTAATAGTGTTAAGATAAACATACTATCCAAAGTGACCTACAGATTCAATGCAATTTGTGTCAGAATGCCAATGATATTCTTTATAGATATAAGAAAATACCAAAATACATAATGAACCACAAAAGACTCCAGGTAGACAAAGCCATACTGAGCAAGAAGGACAAAGCTGGAGGCATCACACCCTCTGAATTCAAAATATATTGCAAAGCTACAGTGTTCAAAACAGAAGTACCCCTAAAAACCATTATATAAATGAATGGAACAGAAAAAATTCCAAGAAATAAATCCACACATCTATAGTCAAATGAACTTTGACAAGTGTGCCAAGAACACACAACGAAGACAGTCTCTTTAATAAATGTCACTGGGAAAACAACTTTCACATGCAGAAAATTCAGTTGTATTGTATTTTGTATTTCATTTGTTTGTTTTTCAGCTCCAGAATTTGCTTGGCTCTTTTTTTTATAATTTTTATCTCTATGTTTAACTTCTAGTTTTGTTCATGTATTATTTTCCTGATTTTATTGAATTATTTATCCATGTTCCCTTGTGCCTTGCTGCACTTCCTTAAAATGTGTTTTTAATTCAATGTCAGGTAATGTATACATCTCCACTTTTTGGTGTTTGGTTATAGAGCTTTATTAGTTTCCTTTAGGGACGTCATGTTTCCACGACTTTTCATTATCTGTGTAGCCTTGCTTTGTTGTCTGTGCATTGGTAAATACCTCTTCCTGTTTCTGCAGACTGGTTTTGGCAGGTAAATACACGTATCCCTCACCAACCATATACAAAAAAAAAAACTCAAAGTGGATTAAAGACTTAAACATAAGACCTAAAACTGTAGAACTTCTAAAAGACATCTATAAAGAGCTTCTTGACAGTGGTACGGTCAATGATTTTTGAAAATGACACCAAAAGCACAATCTCAAATGAAAAATAGGCAAGTGACATTACATCAAACTTAAAAGCTTCTGCCTAAGTAAGCAAGCAATTAACAGAATAAAAAGGCAGTCTTTGGAATGAGAGAAAATATTTCCAATCCATATATCTGATAAGGTGTTAATATGCAAAATTTATAAGGAGGTCAAATAAATCACTTAATAGCGTAAAACAACCAGATTTTTAAAATGGGCTAAGGACCTGAATAAACATTTCTCAAAAGAAGACACACACATTACTCACAAGTATAGATAAATCAGGTGCACCACATTGCTACTGAGAAATGGAAATCAAAACTACAATGAGATTGCTTTGTGTCTTATAGACATTTTAACAATATTGACTCTTCCAACCCAGAAACATAAAATATTTTTTCATTTTTAGTGTCTTCCCCAATTTCTTTAATTTATCAACAGAAGAAGGGATAAAGAAAACGTGCTACATATACACAATGGAGTAGTATTCAACCATAAAAAGGAATAAAATCCTGTCATTTGCAACAACATAAATGGAACTAGATATCGTTATGTTAACTGAAATAAGCCAGTCACAGAAAGACAAACATTGCATGTTCTCACTTATATGCAGGTTCTAAAAACCAAAACAATTGAACTCATGGACATAGAGAGTAAAAGAATGGTTACCACAGGCTTGGAAGGGTAGTGGGAAGATGGGGATGGTTAACCCATCAAAAAAATAGAATGTGTAAGATTATTATTTGATAGCCTGGCAGGGTGACTATAGTCCATAAGAACTTAATTATACATTTTAAAATAACTAAGAGTGTAACTGAATCGTTTGTAGAACTCAAAGGAAGGATACTTGAGTGGATGGTTACCTCATTCTCCATGATGTGCTTATTTCACATTCCATGCCTGTATCAAAACGCCTCATGTACTCCATATATATATATATATAATTTACCCATAAAAATTAAAATAAGAATACATGAAAAAGAAAAAAATGAGATATTACCTTACATGTGTTAAAATAGTTGTTATCAAAAAGACAACAAATACAGTCAGTTTTGTCAAGGATGCGAAGAAAAAGGAGACTCTTGTACACTTCTGCTGAGAATGTAAATAAGTACAGCCTTTATGGAGAACTGTGTGGAGGTTTCTCAGAATATAGAACTACCCCATGCTCTAGCAATCCCATTTCTGGGGCATATATCCAAAGAAAACGAGATCAGTATCTCAAAGGAATATATGCACTCCCAAATTCATTGTGGGATTATTCACAATAGCCAACACATAGAAAAAAACCTAAACGTTCAATGACAGTTAAATGGAGACACACACACATATACACACTCACAATGGAATATCATTCAACCTTAAAAAAAGAAAATTCTGCCATTTGCAACAACATAGATGATCTTGAGGACACTATGTTCAGTGAAATAAGCCAGACACAGAAAGACAAATACCGCATGATCTCACTCATATGTGGAATCTTAAAAACTCAAAGGCGTAAAAGCAGCAAATAGTATAGTGGGTTCAAGGATTAGGAAGTAGGAAAATGGGGAGACCTTGGTTAAGGATAAAGAGGTTCACTTATTTGGGACGAATACATTCTAGAGATCTAATTTACCGCAGGATGGCTACTATGATTTGAATATGGTTTGCTTCTCTCCATTAAGGTTATGTTAACATTTGATCCCAAGTGTGGCAGTATTGGGTGATGAGACCTAGTGGGAGAGGTTTGCATTATGGAATTAGATCCCTCATGAATGGCTTGCTGCTGTTCTCCTGGTAGTGAGTGAGTTCTTGCCACCATGAGAGTGGATTAATTCTCATGGGAACAGGTTCTGCCAGGATGGCCCTCTGATTTCCTTCTCTTTGCATGTCCCTGATTTCCCCTTGACCTGTTCTGCTATGTTTTGATGTGGCACCAGAGGTCTAAGAAATGATGGCCATGTTTATAAAAACCAAGTTTCAGATATTCTGTTACAGCAACAAAAACAGCTTAAGACAATGACTATAGGAGACTACAAAGGAGATGGTGACCATAGGAGACAGTGACCATAAAGGAGAGGGAAATGGAAGAGGGAAACTTATCCTGATATCATTTTTGGAGTCCCTGTAGCTAGATCAGGCCTGGAGACCAAAACTATATTAAAAGTAATGGTTAAAAAACCCAATTATTTTTGCGCTAAGCAAATATACTAGAAATTTGGTGAGTGAGTGATCTTGAGTGTTCTCACCACAAAAAAATCGTAACTATGTGAGGTGATACATATGTTAACTAGTTTGATTGAGATAGTCATTGTACAATGTATACATATATGAAAACATTATGTTTTACACCTTAAACATAGACAGTTTTTATCTGTCAAGTATACCTCAATATAACTGAAAAAATGTATATAATATGCCATTGACTTTTCCCTATGGTCATTTTTATTTTTTTACCTTAAATTCTTAATAATTTGAACAATTGATATTTGTTTGCTTTTAAGAGTTGATGGTATCCATGTGTAATTATTTTGACTTATTAATATTATTCATAAACAAAATTATTAGTTCCTATTCATTGTTGTGATGTAGTTGTTTCTCATTGCCATTTAGTAAGCTAAATTTTTTGCTGATTAGCTTATTAGTTACCTACTTTGTCTTTCTCTAATAATTCCTCTTGGGATAGCCCAAAAGGTGATACTAACCAGTTACCTTAATCCATATGCTTTTTAGTTACAGTATTATAACTAGCAAATTTTAAAGAAAAAACACATATGGTATGTATGTCTAGGGGAAAAATTGCTATTTTATATTTTTCTCTGTAATTTTAATGTAACAAGTTGAAACGTTATTGAATGAAGATTCATTTGATCTTTGGCTCGCCAACATCCATATTTTTCTCATAATAAAATCCTGTTATTTCCTTTCAGGAGTTATGTCTCAGCTCAGGGTTAGACATGGTAACTTAGACCTATGTCTTCTGCTTCCTGGCTACTCTTCATATATGGGCCTACACACTACCAGAGTCAGTCTCTTTTGCTCTACATGCAAATGCTGTTGTCTAAAAGAAGAGATTCCATCTGTGAATAAAGACAGAGCAAAAATAAAAGACAGGGGAGTGGAAGAGGGAAACTTGTCCTGATGTCATTTTTGGAGTCCCTGTAGCTAGGTCAGACCTAGAATCCAAAACTGCATCAATATATGTGAACAAATGTATTTATTTTAGATTTAAACTAGATTTCCTCTCACTTTTAACTATGAAGTCTGAGCAAATTGACTATCATCATGATTCTTCAGTTAAAATTAAAGTTTGTTTCAATTAAAGTTGAAGATGCTAAAATATGTGTTAAATTTTAGCAGTTTGTGATAGGAAAAATATCACTGGACTCACGAAAATTCTACATTTATTTTAGTTGAAACAATATGATTGAAAAAAGTTTTCCAAAATACAGATATTGTTGAACTAAAGACATATCTTCCACAGTTTCTTTCAAAAAAGAAATATGTTATCCATGAAACTGTTTTAGGGAATTTGAGCTGACACATCTTAGAGAAGAAAAGAAAAACAGACGATTTGGGTTGAAAGTTTTGGCATGTCTCCATCTAAAATATTGAAAAGAGCATTTGAATGTTTTAACCTTTATTGAATAGATTCTGGCTTAATTATCCCTTAAAGGTAGTTTGAATATTACATTAAATTATAGATTAAAAGTACATTTTTATATTAATTATGTTCTCCTTTAGAATGTAAAAGAAATGTTTGATGAAAAGCTGGACTTTAAGTAATTTTATTGAGATTTACTGTTAGTAAATTTTAATTTTATGATTTTTTAAACATTTTGTATTTTATGCAACCCTTAGTGATGTAACACCATCATATATTTAACAGTACATTTGATGCTACTTTCTTGTTCTTCTTCTTAGGCATTGATAGATATCATTACAAAATAAAGCATTTTGAATCTGTAACCAATCTGTAAAAATAAATAACAGTTATTCCAAAAGTGGATATTGCTTTTGGGGTTGAAATCATCTCTCTCTCTGAGCATCATCAACTATAATTTCTAAAATTTTCACATCTCCTTTGAAAAGATTTTTTATGATTTTCAGATGATAGTACATAACTTCAACCATTGTTATCTCAAGTAATCTTACCTACAGAAACAACTCACATCTCTAGTGTTTTGTACTGTAAAGTAGTTCAAAAGTAACTGATATACAGGCATTTCAGGAATGAATTATGAGCCAGACCAAAAATTGGCAAACATACTCTGTAAAGGGTCAGGAAGTAAATATTTCAGTCTTCCTGGGCCATCTGGCCTCTGAGACAACTAGTTCTCTATTATTTTAGCATGGAAATATTTGTAGACAGTATACAGATAAATAGCCGTGTCTTTGTTGAAACAAAACTTTATTTACATAAATACGTAATGGGCCAATTTTGGCTCATGGGCCATAGTTTGTAGACCACTGAGCTATATCTATGCACCACCACCTCCAAAACAAATCCTAAAATACACACAAAAGTTCATATTCTAAAAAAAAACAAACAAACAAAAAACAAAACAAAACAAAAAACCAGTTTAAAGAATACCATAAAAAGAATAAATATTATCTGGGATTTTAACTGAATATCAACCATTTATTTTTTTAAATATACTTCGTTTCAAAGCAAGATGCCTAATTCCTCTCATGCCTTGTCTCTCAAACCATATTTACAGTTTATATTTTGTATTCTCATTATTATCTTCATTGTATTTTAGTTTTTCTCATTTAGTTTCTCACTTTGTTTAATCTTTTTTTTTTTTTTTTTTTTTTTTTTTTTTGAGACAGAGTCTTGCTCTGTCGCCCAGGCTGGAGTGCAGTGGTGCAATCTCGGCTCACTGCAACCTCCGCCTCCTGGGTTCCAGCGCTTCTCCTGCCTCAGCCTCCTGAGTAGCTGGGACTACAGGCAGGTGCCACCACGCCTGGCTAATTTTTTGTATTTTTAGTAGAGACGGGTTTTCACCGTGTTAGCCAGGATGGTGCCGATCTCCTGACCTCGTAATCCGCCCGCCTTGGCCTCCTAAAGTGCTGGTATTACAGGTGTAAGCCATGGCGCCTGGCCACTTTGTTTACTTTGTATCAGAGGATAAGTTAAAGTTAAAAAATGAGAAAAAAAAACTAAATGATGGAAGTAATATAGATGACTACAAAACATTTGTCTTATTTTAAGTTTTCTTTTCATCTTTTCATATTTCTGTCTAGTATCTCAAATAAAGCATCAAGGAAGACAGGACTTCAAATCATGGACTAAGGTATAGGAAAGACAGATTCAGAGACAACACACTTTATATTCCAAGTGGGGATGACATGGAGACCTGTTGGTCAGACCGAGATGAAATGATACATGTGTCAAAATGACCTGGAGAATAAGATGACAAACTTATCCATAAAGCACTTCTGGCATTTCTGGAGGTCACGTACCTTGTCTCACTGTAAATGATGTTTTTGAAATGGTGTTATAAAGCATGTTTCTACATCAGGGCAGGAATAATTCAGAGAAATCTATTAGCTTCAAAGGACCTATATCATAAATGCATATTTCAAAGGACATGGTGTTCAGGTCAAAATGGCATAAAAAATTGAAAACTGTCAAATAATCTTTCAGGAGTGTATAGAAATCCAAGCATCAATCTTACTCAGTTCCTGGGATTCTAAATCAATTCTTGAAAACAGGTTACTGATCCACTTTCAGAAAAAAATCTCACAAACATATTACACTGATTTTTATGCCCCATACACTTTTAAAATCTATATGTTGCACATATTTTTGAGGTATTAATAATGTTGTATTTATATAGAACCCATTTTAATGAGTTCCAGGTAATTTATAGATTTCATCTTATTAAATATGTGCTAAACATTTTTAATTGCATGACATTAGGCTATATTTTACTCAGCTTTTAATAACCGATATCCAGAAATAAAGTCCAAGAAAATAGACAAATGTACAAAATCAGGCATATTAATATTATGAAGTTTGTACATATATGTGTGTATGTGTCTGTTTATCTGATTTCCAGTAATACAATAGTGTCACAATCCTCCAGCATGGCTTTAGAATAATTATTTAAAGAAAATTAAATGCAATCTTTTAATATTCAGTTAATTTTGTTTCTATAATTTGTGAATTTTTTCTACCTGAATACACAGAAATAATAAAATAATTCATTTTCTTGAAATATTAGTTTATAATAAGCTAACATATTTGATGTCAGGGTGCCTTCTGAAACCGATTCTCAGATTTCAAAACAACAACAATAACATTGAAACCAGTGCAATAACTTTTTCTTGGGCATTACTATTTTTCAAAAATTAAAATGCATTACCTCATGGATGGCTTTACACAAGATAAACAAATATTTGAACAATTAAAGCTAATTCTTTCTCATGTTTTTCTTTTATTTGTATTGGGTGTTCTTGCTTTTACCTGTTCAGTGTCTATTCAACCTTCCTATTTCACTTTGGAAAATGTCCTTTCTTTTCTTTTGTTGTTTACTTGGGGCTCCTAATCAATGTGCCCTTTCTAGGCAAGTGTGGTCTCTGCATCTGAGTTATGTCATTTGAACTCTTTAGGCTAAAACTTGCACTTATGAGTTAGGAATCACAAGATCAACTTTAATTGGAACTGATTTATCCAGACAGTGCTGTCTCATATACATCATCTATTAGAACATGAACCTACAGCTCTGTAATGCCAGGTTTCTGTCTTTTCTTAAACTTGCATTTCAGTATCTTCTTTAGCTGCACTGCCCCATATTTCTCCACGATATTACTTTTTAATTATGCCAAAATTTAAATTTTGTTGCTTGCAATCACAGAATCCTAGTGGATAAAAGTTGAAATAATGAATACAAGTATTTTTATGTTATTTAGACACACTTAAAATATACTTTCTTCTTATTTATTAAAAATTAGTATTTTAATGGACTACATGCATTCTCTAATTTCTTGAGTTATTCTGTAGTAGAAATAGTAACTTAACATATGCTCTTGGCATATATATTTGAATTGAAATGCATTGTGATTGGGTTTTTTAGTTATTGAAATAAATGACATCTCATATTATTTAGCAATTTGGTGAATTCTGGGTTCACTGTTCTACATAGTAACTGAGAAGGGTGAAATTCTCTATGCTGAATATACTATACTATACTGGATTATCCAATGACATGTGCAAATAATGTGCTCGGAGTTGCCATTAAAATAATTATTTTAAATACTGATTATTTTGCATTTCCAAACATATGCCTTGGATTCAGAAAATCACAGCAGTGGTTCAGATTCCTCCTCATCTTTAAAATGGCAATGACTAAAGTACCTACCTCATATTTAAAATACAGTTGAATTCCTTTGGTTTTGTTCATCTTCCATTGTAGATTTTCTCATTCCTCAGTCTTTTTAAATAAACGTTTTCTGACTTACTAAATATTGACATGGCTCCAAAAAGTGAAAAATGCAAAAAAAATGTGTATTTAGAAATGTATCACTTTCCCATATTAATTCTACCTCATTCCTACTATTCATTCTTTTACTACATTCCCAACCATCCCTGTTAGGTAATCACTCACAGTAGTTTCTGGCTCATATTTTCTTTTTCTTTTCTTTTTTTTTTTTTTTGAGGCGGAGTCTTGCTCTGTTGCCCAGGCTGGAGTGCAGTGGTGCGATCTCCACTCACTGCAAGCTCCGCCTCCCAGGTTCACGCCATTCTCCTGTCTCAGCCTCCTGAGTAGCTGGGACTAGAGGCGCCAGCCGCCATGCCCGGCTAATTTTTTGTATTTTTAGTAGAGACGGGGTTTCACCGTGTTAGCCAGGATGGTCTCGAGCTCCTGACCTTGTGATCCGCCCACCTCGGCCTCCTGAAGTGCTGGGATTACAGGCGTGAGCCACCGCGCCTGGCCTTTTTAAATTTTTTTTTTAATAAAAAATAAGTAGATACCGCTTTTGTATTTATTTCTTATGCAATAGGTAGTCATATGATAGTTTAGCAAACTTATAAATTTTGTTATCCTTCCTTAAAATTACATTTTGGGAATAATTCTCTTTGGCTTCAATTCATACGATATTTTGTATGTTTTTTCAACAGTTGCATGATAAAAGTCTGTAGTACATCTATCTTCTCCATTGTAAAGATAGCAGAATTACAGCTTAATCATTTCCCCATATTTAAAAATTTGAGTTATTTCCAACATATTGCATTTGCAAACAATACAATAAACCTGTTAATATATATTTAGTATTGGAGGGTTAAAGTCAAGGAAATATTGAGAATTGTAGTTACTGAATCAGAAAGTAAGCACTCCTATCATTTTATTATACGTTACCAAATTCTTCCTTGCACATATTGTACTCATTTCATTTTCCACAGGGAATATATTGAGTGATTCTTTCCCTACACACTCGCCAACAAAATGTACTGTCAAGCTTTGTAATTTCCCAGCCTGATAGTTGAGAAAGTGTTTCAGGGTAATTATATTGTATTGAAATTTTTATTGAGATAATTATAGATTTACTCACAGTTGTAAGAAATACCACAGAGACATGTCATGTACTCCTTCTCAGTTTTCCTAAGACGAGGAAGCACATTGAAAAACTATACTGAAATATTTCAGTCAGAATATTGACACTGATACAATTCACCAACCTCATACACATTATTTCCTGAGTTACATTTGTATTCATTTGGGGAGTGTGTGTGTGAGTGTGTGTGTGTTTAGTTCTTCACAATTGTATAAAATAGTAGGTTCATGGATCCACCAACACAGTGTCTGTACAGAGCAGTTTTATCACCAAAAGGCTACTGGCAATGCCCTCTTATAGCAAGATCAACCTCCCATGCTCGCTCCGTCCCCGCACTAACCACTACTAAATTACCTGCACTCCATTTCTAAATGTTCTCATTTCTAAAATATTATAAAAATGGAATCATACAGTATGGATTGGACATATTTGCTGAGCCAAGTTGTATCCAAGAACTATTTGTTTCTTTACATTGTTGAATTACATTCCATGGCATGGAGGCATCACTGTTTGTTTATTCATTGAAGAACATCAGGTTTGTTTTAAGTTTTTAGCTATTACAATTAAAGCTTATATAAACATTCATAGAGAAGGTTTTGTCTAAACATAATCTATTTAAAATTGAGGTTAAATGTAAAGAGTGGGATTTCCGGGAAATTGAATGTTTCATTTTATATAAAATTTCCAAATTGTTTTAGAGAATATCTGTACTATTTTTACTAAATTTTTACATTTCTACCAGTAATGTATGATTGATCTTATTTTTCAGTGCCATGACCAGCATTTGGTGTTGCAACTATTTTTTGTTTTATTTATTTTAATAGGATGTGGGAATATATCATTGTGGTTTTCATTTGAATTTACCTGATGGATAATTTTTTTAAATCCATTTATTTATATTAGCTAACTACATATCCTCTTCAGTGAAATGTCTGTACATATTTTTTGCCTACTTTCTGATTAAATTGTCGTTTTTCTACTCTTGAGGTTTAAAATTTTTATCTATATCTATATCTATACCTATCTCTATCTCTATATCTATATATATGAAGTACTAGTCTTTTGCCATATAAGTGGTTTTTAAATATTTTTTGCCCATCTGCAGCTGGTCTTTAAATCCTCTTCACATGAACTTGCACAATGCCAGAGGTTTTCATCTGGATGAGGCAAAATGTATCTTTTGTTTTATTTTACAGATTGAACATTTTTAGTGCTATTTCTACAAATTATTTGCATAGCTGTAGATCCCAAAGACTTTTTCTTGTGTTTTTTTTTCCAAAGATGTTATAGTGGTTTTTGTTTGTTTGCTTGTTTGCCTGTTGATGTCAAATTGTACCATTTGTTGAAAAGGCTATCCTTCCTCTATTGAATTACCTTTAAAACCTTGTCAAAAATTAATTGAATGTATTTGTGTCAGTTGATTTAAGGTTTTCTCTTCTATTCCCTTGATGTATGTGTTTATTATGCTCCCAGTACACTGTCTTGAATAATCTAGTTACGTGGTAAGCCATAATATCAGATAGAGTGATTTGTACCACTTTTTCTCCTTTCTCAAGACTGCTTTAGCTAAACTATGGCCTATGACTTTCCATATCACTATTAGAATAAGCTAGTTTATGCCTACTGGAAACCTTGCTAAGTTTCTGATAGAAATTGCTTTGAGCCTATAAATTAATTTTGCAGGGAAGGGATTGACATCATTACCATACTGAGTCTTTCAATCTATGAACACAGTATTAATCTGCTTTGATTACTTTGATTGGTGTGGTGTAGTTTCCAACATACATAAAGTTTTTTTTTATTCAGTGGCTAGAATTCCAATACTATTTTGAGTTAAGTTGGTGGAAGTGGATATCCTGCCTTGTTCCTGATCAAAACATTTACTCTTTTACAATTTGGTGTGTTTCATTGTCATTTTCTCATTTATCTTCTTTTGCATATAATTGGCCTTTAAAATTTTTCATGGTCATCTTAATATTATCTTTGGAAAATGGTCTTTTTATGTGTTTTGCTCAATTATGGTGTGAGCGTTTGCTATTTCTCCCACCCTTAATATTTCAGTTCTCCATATATTAGGGTTATTAGCCTTTACCTCTGATATACTTTGTAATACTTTTATTCAAAGTGTCATTTGTTTTACCCTTTTATAATGGTTTGTGGCATTTGTTGAAATGCACAGATTTGAGAAATAATTTATGTGGTCAAATGTATCAGTCTTTTACTTAATTGAATTTAGATTTTATTTATTTAGGTTTATAGAAATTTACTCTATTACTTGTATATTTTTAACTTTTATATTTGTATCTCTTATTTAGTTGTATATAATATGTAGTATGATCTACTTTTGTTCTTTCACATAATTTTCCATCAATTTAAATTTTCATTAATTTAAATATTTATCTTTGGTTCATTGGTGTATAATGAAATATGTTTCCATATATATTTTGTATAGTTGAAACTTCATTTGTTTGCCTATTAATGCGCAATACCACACTATTTTGATTAAAAATACTTTATAGTATATTATATATAGTATATTTTTAATGTATGTATATTTTACAACATACCTACTTTAATGTATGCTAATGGCACTTTATAATATCTTGTAGAAATAGACCATTCATTGTTTTTATTTTTCAGTGTTTTTATCTAGTTACTCTTTTATGATATTTTATAAAAGCTTTGGTGTCACCTTTACCTCCACCAAAAAGGTTTGTGGTATGTTTATTAGGATTATTTTAAATTTATACATTAAATGGAAGAAGTAACTGATATCTGTATGAACAAGAAATATTATTTTCTTTCCATTAGTGCAAATGTATTTATGTGTTTTCAGGGTTATTTTAAAGTTTTAAAATTTTTTATGTATAGATTTTGCAAAGTTTTTGTTAAGCTCAGCTCCAAGTACTTTACCTTTCTTTTATATTTAAAGGCATTTTTTATTACTGCACCCTTATCAGATTTATGTATGTTAGAATTATTAATTTTTGTGTATTTTAGTTCATTTTCTGCTAAATTAATTTTATTAATATTAATGAGTTATGCTATTAAAATTGTAAGGGCTTATAGAAATAATAAAAATGTGACAAACGTATAAGAGAACAAAAGGATGAAAATTTACAGACAGATAGATAGATATAAACTCAGTTATCAAGGAAATGATAATATATTTTGGGTACAAAATTGAACCCAAAATAATAATTTTGGAAATAACTGTATCGCTTTATATGCTAAGGGTATTTTTATGTAAGTGTCTCCTATACCCCTCTCATTATATAAATAAAAGTTTGTGTAACATTTTTGGAAAAAACATTTCCCAAATACATATATAAGTAATTAAAAACTTGAAATAAGAGAGAGCTAAGCCACAAAAATATAAAGAAAATAATACAAATGAAATAAATGTAGTAAAATAGAAAAGCCTTTTAAAACTAGAATTATATCAAAGCCAAAATTAGATTTTTGAAAAGAATAAGTAATTAATGTGAATAGAAGACAATAAAAAGAGGGAGGGAGAGAAGTAATAAAATGCAAAATAAACTGACAACAGGGATTCTATATGTCCTAAAAATATATCAAGAATTTAAAAACGATTTTACGTTGTTAAATGAAATATTTTAATAAAATGGATACATTTTATAAAAATACAATTTAGCAAAACTGTAATGAGAAAAAAACAGTAAATATAAACATTGTTTAGTAAAAATATAGTAAAAACTAAAAGGGTACATATATACTGCTGATAAATATGCAGTCAATTCAAATAGAAAATGAACTTTATGTTATTTGAATATCATTTAATAAATAAAATATATAACATAGACATAAATGTGCTGAAGGATTTGCAAGACCTCTACACTGAGGAGTATAACATATGCAAAATTAAAGAAGGCCTAAATAAATGGAAATTCCAGTTTCACAGATTGGAAGACTCAATATTGTAAAAAAGGCAATTAAACATGAATGGATTTAGAGATTCATTGAAATCCCGACCAAATCTTAACAGGGAACTGAGCTTTAAGGAATTTGCAATTTGGCTGCAATCCCAACTAAGTCCCAAATGGGGCAGTAGTTTCTTTATGGAAATTCAAATGTTAATAGTAGTCAAGATAATACTGATGAAAAACAAATCAGAAAGATGTACAGTAATAAATAATGACCATTGGTTCCAAAGATACAACAAAGACATTATTCCATTCACTAGAATAGGCCAATATAGCACAATTGAAATTTACAACATAAATCCATACATGTTTACCGGATTTATAACTAAGTTGATGGTTTTGTTAGTGATATCAGTCTATAATCTTTCACTGAGCTTCATAGTTGAGTCATATCTCTTTCTTCATAGATGATTTCGGGTCCTTTAGTTTCTCCTACTTTTTTCTCTGTTCCTGACCACTCTGTGACTTGCCCGGCTCTATGTGTTCCCCTGCAAGCTTGAACCTTAGCCGGGGCCTTGAACGTAACCAGTCCTGATAAAGGTGTTTAGGCTGTCCTTCCTTCCCTCCTTCCCTTCCCTCAAAACACTGAAAGGAACCTGCCTTATTTTAAGCCAAATTCCTTCAACCCTCATATAAACTCCATAACTTGACCTGTCATTGTGGACATAACTAGGAAAAACAGCTCTTTCTCTCACTGCCCATTGTGAGGACACTCTGCAGGCCCCTCCATACGTAAATTGCCGGGTAACAATGCTTTGGACTGATCATTCTGGCAACTAGTGCTGCTTTCCTTGAAATTCCGACTGACCCCATCTTGGGGTGATTTGGGGCATTCCCCTGTGGAAACTAACCTGCTGCCACTTTTGGGATGACTTCAGCTGGACGGAACAATGTTTTACTTCAATAAAATGTATTTTTTTTCGATGGTGTAAATTATCTCCATATCCTTAATCTTCATTTCTTTCAAAATATTCATTGTTGGTGAGAATCAAATCCACTAGTTAACTGTAAGGAACTTCCCCTTTCATTCTGAAGCTTATAGAAATAAGCTTAAAATGAACAGAGGGCAATTTTTACTTAAGGTAATTGTTGGAGAATAAAATGAGATAACATTGATGAAACTACATGGCACACATCAGGTGCTCAATAAATATTAGATTTCTTTTTTTTTTCACTTTGTTACTCAATTACTAAATAATATATTTTCTATTTTTATTCCTGTCAGCTGCCAGAGTTGAAACACAGTTGCACCACCCTTTATCTGCAATAATGTTTTTCCTTTCCTTCCTTCTCCCTTCCTTCCCTCTTTTCTTCGTCAATTCCTCTCTTCCTCCTTTCCTTCCTTTCTTTCTTCCTTCCCTCCCTTTCTTTCCTTCTTTCTCTTTTCTTTCTTCCTTTTTGGCAAATTGAGAATAGGAATATTTTTGTGGTCTCTTAAGTTTATGTTTAATAACTTAGCTCTCTTTCATATTGTAAGTCATGGTTGTTATAAAACATCTGTGAAAACATTAAAAGTGTACATATTTTTAGTAAGATATTGGTTTACATTAAATTAATATGTTATACTCCAACTTAAGTCACTAGGATATGCTCTGTCTAAAGCATAAAACTGCCAAAAATGATTTTCAGAAACACTGTAACTCCAATAGAAGCCATTTTTTTAAATTCATATATCAAGATTTAGGAAAAGTTAGCTTTTTGTTTTAATGCAATGGTGGTGAAAAGCCATATTAGCAAGATTGTTAAAGGAAATATATTTTGTTAATCAATTCATCTATCACTAAACTCGTGAAAAAAAGTATTTAGTTACATATGCCTCACATACTACCTTCGTTTTCTAGGTTATATTTGTTTTACCTTGTTGTTTTATAACTGGTATTGTTGCAGCTACAGCTGTTTGTTGTTACTACTTTGCTGTTGTTATTGGCTACTGTTCTCTGTTTACTTTTTAAAATAAAAGTTCCTTAAGTATGAGATATAGAATCATAGAATGTGCTTTTTTCTATGCAGATAGAAGTAGTCTGTTTTAAGCATTGGGCTGGTGCTAATAAGCAGAAAGGTATATAAATCCAAAATAAAAATAGTGGCATCACTAATCTTTTTCAAAGATATTTAAATTTTCAGAAATATTTTTTACTTATTTAATACTTAACGTATAATATCTATGTGAATATGAATGGACGATATATTTATTTTCAAATTGTAAAGATTTTACATCTAGAGAGTTTCAAATTTCTTTATGTCTAACATCAACATAGTGAATAATTTGGACTGTAAATTTTTGTCTTTATTCCCAAACTATACCTGTCAAGCTACACATGACTATCTGAAAACTAGTGGAGTCATTATTTTAATGAAAATTTACATAGCCTAAGAACTCAGTGTTATGACTTTTTATTAATTTCACATTTCAGAAATGTTTATTAAAAGATGTTTTTAGTGACCAAGTTAATATTTTTACAGATGAGGAGATCCATTAACTGTAAATAGACAGTACTTTTCAGGGAATAAAAAACTATACTAATACGATGAATTAAAATAGTCTGTTACCTTATTTATCAACAGGATGTACATTTACAGACTAATTCACTTATTTAGCCATATTTATATGACTGAGGACTGTTTGAAATACTGAATTCTATGAAATGCTTTAAAACAGTAGAATTAGGTATTATTTACACTCCTTCAAGTAGAACTAAATATAAAGTAGAATTAAATATATACAATATTGACCTTTCAATCTAGCTTGCTATATATGCTTTTACACATGTCTATGAGAAACTGGTTAGCAGTGGTAACCTTTAGAGATGGTTCTGTAAGAGTCTATAAGAAACTTAAATAGTTCAACAAGCAAAACATATACAATGACATTAATAAGCAGGGAAAGGACATGAACTGACACTTTTTAAAAGAAGACATACGTGCAGCTTTCAAATTTGTATTTGAGGAAACCGATAGTGCTAACAAGTGTGTGGGTACGAGCATACTCTATTTTCAGTCATATATATGCTGCACATCTCTTACAAAAGTATGTCTTTATTTCTGAGTACTAAAATTGCTAATCTGTATTTAATAAAAAACATCAGATGTCTGCTTCTCAGGTATATAAGTTAAAGGATATGTAGTCAACATCATGAGTTCCCCCTTCATACACACATGCACACAACGTCCTTTTAGGATTATTTTAAAATATAATGTTTCAAGTTTGCTAAATTAGTGTTTATTAACCGAAATGCTTTCAAGAGTCACATAGAAAATACAGATTAGTAAAGAAGGCTAAGTCCAGGATAATGAATTGCAAATGGTTATCTTTTAAGTGGGAGCATATGTGCACGAACTAAATGAGAGTTTCAAATAGATGCTTCCTAATACAGGTAATCAAAATCTGGCTCAAATGACCTAAGTAATATGTTTTGTATGACTGGAAGTCCTGATAAAGAGTCATTATCAGTGTTATTGTTGTCAAGGCTCTCTTCAATTTTTTTCATTGACACAAAGAAAAAGAGAGAGAGAGAAAGAGAGAGAGAGTGAGAAAGAGTTAGTTTTTCTACAAGGCTTGAATAAAAAGTCTTTCCTTCTTTGGCTTGGCTCACTTCAGTCCATGTGCTCACTTTCTGGCTAAAACAATTTCCAGGTGTCTCAGTCCCTTCGGGCTTCTATAATAAGATAGTATAGGCTGGGTGGCTTATTAAACAACAGAAATTTATTTCTTACAGTTCTAGAAGCTAGAAAGTCTAAGATCAATGAACTGGCAGATTTGGTATTGAGAAAGAGCTTGCTTCGTTATGAAGAGTGTTTTCTTGCTTTGTTCTCACAGTGCAGAAGAGCAAGGAAGCTTTCTGGAGCTTCTTTTATAAGGGCACTAATCCTATTCATAAAGTCTCTGCATTTTTGACCTAATTACTTCCTTAAAGTCCACACTTCTTAATACCACCACCGTGGGAGTTAGAATTTTAAGATTTTAATTTTGGGGTACATAAACATATGGACCATAGCACCAGCTGAATATTGTCTGTTGATGTGTAAAGCTGAATTTTCTGAGTCAATCACCTACAAAATAGATCTGATTGTCATGACTGACCAAAGCTAATTAGGACCCACTCGTGAACATGAATAAAGGGTCAATTTCTCTTGAGTACCATACATTGCATAGACAAAGTTTCATTTTATAATTTAAAATAAAATTCACTTATAAATAAACAAACAAAAAAGATGCTGGTGATCAAAGTAGACTGCCTACAAATGGAGTATTTGACATTTTTTTCAGGATTTGCAGAACCACAGACTCAATGTGGTTGAATCTTTCTTACATTTTGAGTAAAGCTGAAAATCTCAGTTATTATGTAAAATGTTTCAATCGCAGAAATAAATGACATTTGAAGCATTGTGCAGGGCAAACAAAATTAACTTACAGACCAATTCAGCATGTGGAGCAATCAGTTTTCAGCTTGTATTCTAACTATCACAAATGCTATTTTTGGATAATTTCAGACCATGTACTGCATCAACAGTAATTTTTTAGGCCCACTTCCTGAAGGGTGATAGAAATTAGAGGTCACGTTTATAAATGTAAGTGAGACATTGAGTGGATATATCTTACATTAAATTTTTCTTATGTGTGACTGTGGGGAAGGGTGGGTAATTTTATGGAGAACTGTGGTAAGAGTAGAGCTAGGGATACAAAATCAATATTTGAAGTATTTTCCAGACATACAAGCAAATAAGTAAAAGGAGGAAATGAAATAGTAAGGTAAACAATACATATGACTGTATGAATTATAAATAATTCAAATAGATAATACGGGTCAATGCAAGAAAACATATGTAAACAAATGGAAAAAAAAGTCCACTGTAAACAATTAAAATATTACATATTTATTGTCAAAAATGTGAAAAAAAGAAAGAAAGCACAAGTCAGAAATAATGGCATCACTCATCTATTATGCCAGTAATTTTCAAGTGTTTCTTCCAGGAATATATTTGTGTATTTTTTTTACATATGATTATATATCACTATGAATATAAATCAAATTAGATGTAATATTTTTAAGCTTAAACATAAATGGATTATGAAATATTATTCCAAACATTTTTAATGGTAAAAATATTTAAGAAGAGTCTATGGGCTTCAATTTAATAATTTCAATTAGACATTTAAAAGTTTTAAATATGTTGACGTTATACATCTTTCAACATTTTTGCTAAAAACTTCCATTTTTATCCTGTATCAACTCCTTATTATATTTGTGTGAAAGTTAAAATACAAGATAACAAACAGGTAGGACATTTTAATATGCTTTAATAAATATTGCCAATTATTTGAGAAATATATATAAATCTATATTCCAAATAAAAGACCATATACATCTCCCTTATACTCTACTCTCACAACAATGTTGCAGTTTTATTTTTAATCAAGTCTAATTTGATAAATTTTAAAGTGTCATCATATTTTAATTAGCAGCTGTTTGATATGTGCTATGTGGAGTTAACTTATTTCCATATGTTTATTGGGTAGTTATACTTTGTGTTATTTTTCACTTGATGTCCTCTATTCATTTTTCTCATAGATAATTTATATTTTTAAAGTTTCAACATTTATGTATTTTACATATCAAACTTCTGCATTATTACCACAAATATGTATCCAATGGCTAAAATCAAGTGATGCTTAGCACCTAATATTTCCAAAGACGTAGAAAAACTAAAACGTTCATACCTTACTGGTGGAAATGAAAAGTGAAACCCCCAACTTTGGGAAACAGTTTGACAGGTTCTTTTAATGTCAATCTACCCTTTGAGAGAGACTTTCCACTCTTAGGTTTACCAAAAACAGATGAAAATGTGTATTCATCAAACATCTTGTATAAAAATGTTAAGATTTTTAAGTCATGTTAAGGCACCTTTTTCATAATAGTCAAAAACTAGAAGCCTCCCAAATGTTCATCCACCTGAGAGTATAAATACATATTGTGGTATATCCATACAATAAAGTACTATCCATCAATTAAAAAGCACTGATAATTACAGTAGAATGAATGGATTTCTTAGATGTTATTTTCAGCCAAAAATGTTTGATACAGGATAGTACATCTACGTGATTCCATTTACATAATGTTCCTGGAGAAACAAAACTAATATATAGTTTTGAAACCACTACTGTGGATTTTTCTCACTTGTGGTACCTGACTTCCACAGGGTCATAAGGAACTTTCTGAGGTGAGGGAGATGGTCTAATATTGACTTCAGTGTGGATTATGTGGACATATTTACTTGTCAGAGGACATCAAAATGTACCTTAAGACCTATACATTTTATTGCATAATTTAACTTATAATTATAAATAATAAAATAATAATTATAAATAATATAAATTCAAATTTAAAATTTAAAAAATAAATTAATAACCGTGAATATCAAAAAATATGGGAGAAGGGAGGATTCTTTCAATTTCTTGAATTTAGAAAATCAATTTTAGAAAGTTTTTTAGCTCTTTATAACATTTATAGTTAATGGTTTTTAAATGACTCTTCTTGAAAGAGGCTGATATGTCTTGGCTCTATGTCCTCATCAAATCTCATCTCGACTTGTAATCTCCACATGTCAGCCATGCGGAACTGTGAGTCAATTAAACCTCTTTTTTTTAATATAAATTACATACTCTTAGGCAATTCTTAATAGCAGTGTCAAAACAGACTAATACAGAGGCATATTAAGAGAATCTTTTATCTTAAAAGAGACATATAGATAAAGTGCTGTGAGGCACATCTCAATACATTCATATTATCTCTTTCTACATGTATTTAATAATTTATAATTAACAATGTACATTCTTGATGAGTAGAATGAAATACATCCAAGCAATCATTTTGGTCATCTCGGTTTTGTTTGAATTAATATTATATTTTACAAACTATGATCATTTTACTTTTACTTTTAGATCAGTTATGCAATCATTTTTAACACTCTCATGACTGATCATATAATTTCAAGCTTTCCTAACTCATTTCTAACATCATTAAAGCAGAGAAATATAAATTTATTTTATAGTAAACAAGCCTCTGTTAAAAATTGACAAGTGGACCTAATTAGACTAAAGAGTAAACAAAAATCCTAAAGAATGGGAGAAAATATTTGCAACTATGTATATGACAAAGTTCGAAAATCGAGAAGCTATAAGTGCTTAATTCAACAAGGGAGAAATAACCTAATTAAAAAGTGGTCAAAAGACATGAATAGATACCTCTCAAAGAAAGACATACAAGTGACCAACGAACATGAAGAAATGCTGAACATCACTAATCATCAGATAACTGCAAATCAAAACCACTATGCGATAGAATCTCACACCAATCGGAATGGCTATTATTAAAATGTCAAAAAATAACAGATACTGGTAAGGCTGTGGAGTAAAGGAAACATTATACACTGTTGGTTAGAATGTAAATTAGTTCAGCCACTGTGGAAAGAAGTTCATAAATTTCTCAAAGAACGTTAAACAGAACTACCATTTGACCCAGAAATCTCATTACTGGGTATATAGCCAAAGGAAAATAAATTGTTACTAAAAAGACATGCCCTTGTATGTTCATTGCAGCACTGTTCATTATGGGAAAGACATGAAATCAACCTGTCTGTGAATGGTGGATTGGATAAAGAAAATTTGGTACATTTACACCATGGAATATTACACAGCTAAAACAAAGAATGAAATCACATCTTTGCAGCAACACGGATGCAGTTGGAGGTCATTATTCTAAGCAAATTAATGCAGAAACAGAAAACCAAATACCTCATTTTTTCAACTATATGTGAGAGCTACACATTAGGTACATAAGGACATAAAGTTGGGAGCAATAGACACTGGGGACTCCCAAAGGGAGGAGCGGGGGACAGGGCAAAATTGAAAAACTACCTATCAGGTACTATGCTCATTGGGTAATGGGATCATTCATACCCTAGACCTCAGCATCACGTAATATACAATGTAAAAAACTTGCATGTGTATCCCCTAAATCTAAATAAAAGTCAAAATCTACAAAGATGAACAAAAAAAAACCTATTGTGGAAAATATTTTTAAACTTAAAAATAAATTACTTGATAAAGGAACATACTATTTTTAATCTTTTTTCATTTGAGATACCCAAATTTTGATGCTTTTGATATCAAATTTTAACTTGTGTTTTTTGCAGTTTGTATTTTTTCAATATTAATATATATGTTCAAATTATCTTGGAATTTTTTTCCTGCTACGAATGTCTTGTGTTTGGTTGTCATTGTCTAATTAATTAAGAGTCTATTGTATTTAGACATCCACACATTAGTACATATAACTCATATAAATGCTGGGGGGGTTGTTAATTATAATGAAATATTTTATATTTATATTTGCAAGTAGATACAGTCACATTTGTCAAATACAAGAGAAAGAAAAGAATAGGCACACTTGAATAATTGTGCTATTTCTGTCAGGTTTCTAACAGAAAAGACAGATACACTCAAGCTGTCAACAATTTAGTAACAGACTGCTTTCAACTGTGGAGACAAAATCTGGCGAATCCAGCAGGGAGAATGCAGTAGGATTGAGGGAAGATGATCATCAAGGTTCTAAAGGAGAAAAGAAATCATGCAGCTACCAGAGCCTAGAGAGTGCCTCAATAGAGTGTTGCCTGAAAAGGGGTGTTAATTCCCGGGACAGGGACCAATCTCCAGCAGCCTGCTTGGTAGAGATCCCTGGGATTCAATACCCAAGTTTCAACCTCTGTACTCTGCACACTCCAATATAGCAAATGCAACTGGATTCCAGAAAGCAAGGAGACCTTTGATGTTACCTGTAAGATTTAGCGTGCTAAGACACAGAACAAGGTAGGGAAAGATGGAGAGTGAATAAAATCCAGCAAATAGAAGATAACTAATCCTTTTTTTTTTCTTAAATAAATATTAGTTCTGTTTCATCCAAAATATCTTCTCAAATCAATTTATAGTACCTAAATTTCATATGAAAACAGGAAACTCTTTTCATTAATGTAACTCCGTTTACTTGAATTTCTACTTACATGACACTTGAGAATCTATTTGTCTTTTGAAGAAGTATTTCAATATTACTTAACACAGCATATATACAAACACCCTTGATATAGAACATGCAAACTTTATCATTTTTTTCTTATAGTTTAGGGTCCCAAAATTCAATAGCCTATAATAAAGGGCCAAATTTCTTGGGGTTAATGAAAAATAATATTTTTGTTAGATAATACTGTCACAAAACAACTCAAAATAAACATAATGGATCTTCTATGGTAGACAACTAACTATGCAATGTAGTTTTTGGACCAAAAGATCCAGCAGTAGTCATCTTCTAATACCTCTGCAAGAAAAACAACCTTACCCTCTTTGTTTGAGAAAGAGAGAATGAATGTCTGACAGGAGCAAATCATCATTCGCTTTATATCAATTTACTATAGATTTTTACTGTACTTTTAGTTCAAGATGTTTCTGCCTCTTTCCTTTTATATATTAACTCATAACTGAAATGTGCTTAAAATAATGAGAAAAGCATATCTTGTATTTTTATAATTCCTTTATGAACCTACAAGGGATTGAAAAAGTACAAATAACATAATATAAAAAAGCATAAAAAGTTTTAGGAAAATTATGAATTCTCATTTTTCTTATAGGATTTTTACCAGTGATTTACATATTAATATTTAATTTCTTAAATTTTCAAAATAGCTTTTCAAATTTTCCTATAAAAGTAATATTATTTTCACATGGAAATAAATCATTGTCTCTGGTGAGTTTTCTGAGATGTAGTTTAGCAGATATATAATATAGTAAAAATTTTCCAGACTATAAACACACATTGGAAATATATCAATGGTATTACAAACTACTGAGTTGGCACATAGAAACAGTAAATAAACATAAAATTATCTATAAGAATCTAGAAAATATATAAAAGTGAAATGTACAAAAGCAATTCAGAAATCTAATAAATATTGACGAGTAAGTCCTTGGTATACATTAAATAAACATATTTTAGCAATATCTATAAATATTCATTTATCGTGTATCCATGTACACATTCACACACACAGAGTATGTGTGTATATGTATCCCTGTACACATAGTGTGTGTGTATATATCCATGTACACACATAGAGTTTGGGGATCCTTAGGATGTCACTATTCCAGCTGAAACTTCTGTGGTGGTGGCGCCTTTTCCCGAGATTTGCCCACTCAGCTCATTCCACCCACACGGCCCGGCAGCCTGTGCTCCGCTAGCGCTACCATTCCGGATCCTATGCCAGCCAAGGGTGAGCCAGGCACGGAGCGGAGTGAGCATGGAGTCCAGCCACTGCACACAGCCAAGCCCGCCAGCTGCTGTAGTGGGGTGGGCAGTTCCAGGCGCCGGCACAGGCGCCAGCTCCATGCAAAGCTGCAGCTGGATCAGGTGGCTGCAGCCACCGCAAGTGACTTCCACTGCGGGCACCCGCATCTGGATAAGGGTAATGCAGTGGTGCCTGGAACCTTGAAAACAACAGGAACCTCAGAGACCCAAAGAGGGTGTCATTGCCCTGGCCCAGGGATTCCCCTAGGTCTGGGGTCCCCGAAGAGCCGCAGTTCTTTTCTCCTTCTCGTCGGCCGCAAGCCGACGAGCAGGCGGTGCATTACAGCCCTGTTTGCGTTACAGCTTTCAGTCCCGCTACTCAGCGGCGAGAGTTCCTGTTCCACGTCCAGGAAGAACGATGTGGGTGGGCAAGGTGGGGAGGAGTTTCATTGAGCGACAGAACAGCTCTCGCGAGACCTAAAGAGGATAGCCCCAGTGTCTGTGTGAGTCTGGCTTGGTCTGGGTTTTCTTACGGGCTCAGAAGGGAGGAAGTGCATGTTGATTGGTCCATGGACAGCCATCAGTGGGCACTGAAAAAGCGCCATAAATTCTCACTCCAGGCCGCGGACTCCACCCAGAACTGACATCCTGGCCTCCAGGCTTCAGGCCTTCCTTGACTTGAAGGTGGGGCGTCACCAGGGACCCGCACCTTTCTGCCCAGGAGACTGTCTGCCTCCTGGGCTGACCTGTCATCCAGGGCACCCAGGATGTTTGAGCTGAGGGGCACCTGGGGACCCATGCGGAGCTGCCCTCAGGCCCCACTCAGCCTCCCTCCCGTAGTTGTTGACGTCCAAAGTCTGGAGGGGACCAAGGCTTCAGGGCGCTGACATGCCAGTGCCACCCCAAGCATGCACACACCTGGCCGGGTTGCAAGAGCTCCCAGGCTCGGCCACAACTTTGCTCCCACCCAGAGTGGGTGCCAGGAGCCGGTTGAGGCCAGGCAGTGGGAGCAGGAACTTTCAAGCCTGCAGAGACAAGGAGCTTCCTGGGCCCCCGAGAGTGCAGAGATGCCTGGGTCCTGGGCCATGGCTGGGTGGCTGCAGCTGCACCCTGGAGTGTGGGGCTCCAGGAATGTCCGGCTCCTGCCCCATTGACTCAGTACGGTGCAGGGCTCCCAAATGTTGCCTGTCCCGGCTGGCTCTGTGAAGTATGCAGCCCTGGCCGCACCTACCCCACTGCAGTGGACGTCTTTGCAGCAGACCCTCCAGATGGGCCGCTGCTGCCATCAGTAGTATTTGGGTATGTATATCCAAGTACACATTCACACACACAGCATACTATATTTATTTATTTGTATATTCGTTATAGTACCTAATGGTTAGATGAGTACTACTTTATGCTTTCAACCTAAAAATGTTATTGCCATCTTGCTGTACTGCACTTTTTTAAATCTATCTTCTCAATTGTGGTCTCTCTTAGTGCCACTAACTTGTATTGTGTTGAACAGTGACTGGTGAAAGTAATAGTGTTCTGTCTGCTAAAATATTGCCAAGAAAGGTCGGGAGCGGTGGCTGACACCTGTAATCCCAGCACTTTGGGAGGCTGAGGTGGGTGTATCACCTGAGGTCAGGAGCTTCCTGGGCCCCAGAGAGTGCAGAGATGCCTGGCCAACATGGTAAAATCCCGTCTCTACTAGAAATAAATAAATAAATAAATAAATAAATACAAAAAAAAAAATAGCTGGCCGTGAAGGCGAGTGCCTGTAATCTCAGCTACTCGGGAGGCTGAGGCAGAAGAATCACTTGAACCCTAAAGGCGGAGTTTGCAGTGAACCAAGATGGCGCCACTGCACTCCAGCCTGGGCAACAGAACGAGACTCCGTCAAACAAAAAAAACAAAACATTGCCGAGAAAAAGTACCACACTAAATATTAAAAATGAGAACTTTATGGTGGCTTGAAATGGGTTAGCACTTAAAAGATAAGCCAGAGTAAATATATGATAAGTCTTAAAAATTGGTGACAGTTTTTGAAAAATTGATCTATGAAAGTAAGAAACTATGCCTGTAAATATACCATCATTCCAGGAATTAAGTTGCTAAATTTGTTTTGTTAGGAACGCATCACCATGAGTACTGTGCTGGAATTTCACTTACAACTGAATTTAATTAACATTTATTTTAAGTCAGGTGATACAGTGACTTTATAGAGAAGGGGCTCTGTTTCATAACACAGACACATTGTTTTGAGAGAGATACAGTTATATTAAAAAGAAATCATTATTTGTCATATTGAATGAAATATTTGTAAATGTTTTTCAAAATATATGTAGTATATTAATACCCCTGTTTTCTGGAAAGAATGATCTTTGTCATCTTCACAACTAGAATATTCATTTTAATTTAAACATTATTTACACTTTGTTCTATTTATTAAGTTAGTTTTAATCTCTTCTCTTCTTTTGATAATCCTCTTCCCAAAGACAGCATTTAGATACACTATTAAAATTTATCGGCTAAATAAAATCCACTTTCTTCCTGATGTTTTCTTACATAACTTCAATTATTAGTATCTTAAATCATTAATTACTTAAATTCAGGAAATATATTTCCATCCTTAGTATTATTATAATAAAACCAAAAAGTATCTTCCCAATAATGTATTATAGTATCCATTTTATGTTTTTATCTTACCCTCCTTCAATGACCTCTTCTAAGTTCCTCAGACCACATGCTGAGAAATCTGCATAATTTATTACTTATTGTATAGTTCTATGCACACAATGTACACTCATAAGTATTTGGCTCAACAATAATTTATAGTACTTTGGGCAGTAGTCAATTGAAGGATTTGGAGTTGGAGATAATTTAGATAAATTTAAATAATGGCCAAGTGAGAAGCTAAACAGAGTGGAAGTGGTTTAGTATACTGAAAATAAAAGCTGTGAGTAAGCTTTTAATCTTCAAATTCTTTAAGATTGTATTATTTAGCTTCTTCTGCTTTGTAGAGAAAAACTGAAATTACATTAATTTAAAATTAGAAGGAAAAATAAGTAAAACCCTGATATTAAATAGCCTTTTGAATCTAGCCTTGAAGAGCAATCTCTGAAAATTCAGTAAAATGTTAGAATAAATGTTTTTTTCTCACTAGTCCACATTTGCTGATAAAAATTTACTGCACTTCTAGATTATCCTGTTAATTGTTACCAATGAACAATTCATTAATATTGTGATTCAAGAATTTTCTTCACTACCATGTTCTCGACTTATTTGCAAAGGAAAAATAACGATGCCCTCAAAGACGTAAGAAGAAAACAAGAACCCCAAAAGCAACTAAACTTTATGGCCTAAAATTCCTTCTTAAAACATAGTACTGTAATTCAGAAGAAAGTAATTCAGAATTAAGAAATAAAGGCTGATATAACACTAGATGAACATTGACGTAAGGGCACATGTATCTTATACGTTTGAATATAAAATTGAATAAAATGTTAAATATATAGATTATGATATAATAACAATATCATAAAATAATCTGGACTCATTATGCATATTATTTAACTTTGAAAGGATTCCAATTTAATAATTTGCTATATTAGTGACACAAGTTTTTCTATGATAAGCACATGGAATGTAATTTCCCTCTCTGTGAGAATTTTATGTCACATCTTATCAAACCATATATGTGAGATATTGGCCTCAACTACTGGACTCCAAAACATATATAAACCCAAGACTTTGACAGACACATTGAGAGCTTAGGCTCCGGCAGGGCTCTCTGGTAGCCTTCAACTGACAGCTTAGGTTGTAGCAGGGCTACTGTCTGACAGCCTTCAATGCATTCTCCCAAGCCTCATTCACCAACATCAGCACCACTCCTGTGTCTGACGACCTTGCCTGTGAACATGAACTTATGCTGTGCTGGTCAAATTATCCCTCCTAAAAACTTCTGATAGAAAGATATGCCTCAAACTTCAATTAGACTTTACATCCACAGAGGCCTACTTCCATTTTAATTGATCAACTAGATTTGCATAATTGAACTCTAAACAAAATTGGAACTCACTCATCATGTGGTTAATGTACTTTGTCACAGTGCATTCCTGTAAGATTGGTTCTCCATATTCTTTTTCTCTTTGAGCATTGTTAGAAAAAAAAAAAAGGACATAGAAAATCTCTATTTATGGCAATAAACCATGTAATTCAGGAAATCACACTCAGGCCATCTTCTCATTTTAACCATACCAAATGATATGTATGGATTATTTTTATAGAAAAGGTGAAATTGTATATATATAGGGTCGCACTCTGTCACTCAGGCTGGAGTGAAGTGGCATAATCACAGCTACTGAAGCCTTTCTTGGGTTCAAGAAATTCTCCTGCCTCAACCTCCCAAAATCTTGGGATTATAGACATGAGCCACTGTTCCTGGTTTGAAACAATGTTAAAACAGAAAATTAGTTTTTTTAAAAAAATTTTACAAACTAATTTTCCACATCAAATTATCAGCAAATTGTCAGAAATAGTTAAAAGTGAGAGTTTTCACAATGCTTGGATGACGGGAATTTTTACACAATATGGTTGGAGTGCTAATAGGCTGAAATGGTACGGGAAATGAGTTTTTAAAGATATATGGCTTTTTAATTTTTAATTCTGCTTTACAAAATAATCAGAAATGCACTGTTTCTTGACAATTTTGTAGCAGATTGAACACTACCAATTTCACCAGTCAGTGTTCAACAAAACACAAATTAATGGTAGCAAGAGAGACCATGATTCAGAATATAGATGGACCTGAAGCTTTCAAACTAAAAAAAAAACAAACAAAAAACTTCAGTACAGCAAGATGGCAGAATTTTTAATTCTGATTTACAAAAAATACTCATAGATGCAGGTAAGTAATAAATTTATTTAGTTATCTTATTTTTGAAAGAGAGTGTTGTGTATTTTGTTTGTTTTCACTCTACCTCCATTCCCAATGACCTGAATCAGAAAACTCCTTGTATAGTTATGTCTATGCCACATATATTTACAACAATGTATTTAGTTATATTTAGAAATGCATAGTAAGTAACATTTTCTAAGAATCATTACCACAAAAACAATGACAAATTAGATCATGACCTGATGGTAGAGGTAATCACAGGGAAATACAGCAATTACCATAAAGTGTTAGAATTGCCTTATCTAAGCATAGCATAAAATTGGTAATTTTACAAAAAATAAAAACAGGAACATAGAAAATTATAGGCTTATGAAAATAGGAAATTTTTAATATTAAATATTTGTTTCAGAGGGGGTTTTATATTTGTTACTAAATACCTGTAGTAGAGTTACTGATCTATACTTGTGTTAGCTGACTCAACAATAGAAATATGTCAGCAAAAGTTACATAAGGAAGGGCAACATGCCCTGATAAATTTTTTTTAATAACTTAGATTTGGAAGAAATTATATTTAGTAGTATTGATACTTTTTTCTCAATCTCTAAAATACCCCCATTAAAGCATAACTCATTTAAATATATCTTCTTAGAAAAATGGAAGAAAAGTAAATACAGTTGTAGCTTTCACTGGAGAATTGAGCCAACTCAAGCGATTTTCTATAGAGATATGTTTGTGTTCAGTTTATTTCTTACCTTAACCTCTGGGGAGTAGCTGTAGAAAAGTTTACTCTGAAATTATTCTCTAAGGATAAATTTTCTTCTTATCTTCTGTTTGGATTGAAATGTTGTCAGGTAAAAGGCCACCTCACTTTACTGGCTTATACTAACACCTTTAAATGGGTGCTTTTGGAGATAAGTATAAGATAGAATTTTAGGAGCCAAAGGGTAGTTTCTTTTATTTCATTTTGTTTGTGAATAAATACTCTAGTGTTAAAACCATAGAAAAGAAAAGTGAAACACTTAACAACCAGAAAAGCCCACAAAATTTAGCACACTTTCTGCAAACCTTTTTAAAGTTTTCTCATCATTACAAGGTTTAAAAGCTTTGTGTTTACTTTATCCAAAACTTAATATTTTTGAGAACTTTGATATATAGCACAACTAATAAAATGATGCTTAATCTCAGAGAGTCATTATAATCACTTACGAAAGGTAATTTTCCTTTCCAATAGAAAAGAACACCTAGAAAGTTAAAATCATGAGGCCTAATTCTCATAGTCTGTGTTCGTACTAAAAATTAAAATTAAGTAATTCATAGTGGGCTTCTTTCCTCTATGAGCTTTTGATATGATTTTGAGTTATATTTCAGTTCTCTACAAATTGGGCCAAAAATATTATGTCCTTTATGGGAAATAGCCTTTATTCTCGCTTCATTAATCTCATGTATAAAACCCCTCATTGTCAAAAGGAAGGAGTTATTTTTGTAAATATTATGCATTGTAAGAAAAAGAATAAGCACTTTTAATTTAGCAAAAATATTGTGGACATATCACACGCAAGACAACCTGTAATGTGCTGAGAGTAGGAAGATAAACAGAGCCAAGCTCCAGTCCCAGATAATTTTACAGTCAAACTGTAATACAAGGGTGTACATCAATACAAATCAAGAATGATGAGTCGGCCAGGCACGGTGGCTCACGCCTGTAATCCCAACACTTTGGGAGGCCGAGGCGGCAGATCACAAGGTCAGGAGTTCAAGACCTGCCTGACCAACGTGGTGAAACCTGTCTCTACTAAAAATACAAAAAATTAGCAGGTCATGGTGGTTTGTGCCTGTAATCCCAACTACTTGGGAAGCTGAAGCAGGAGAATCGCTTGAACCTGGGAGGCGGAGGTTGCAGTGAGCTGAGATTGTGCCATTGCACTCCACCCTAGGCGACAGAGTGAGACTCCGTCTAAAAAAAAAAAAAAATGATGAGTCTGTCACCTGTGAGAAAGCTCAAATAGTCCTTAATAAGTAAGGCATAAAAGGATAACTAAGGTGATGTTTAACATAAAAAGATATATTTAGATGTTTGAGCAGAACTATTGAGGATGTGTGAAATTTCACCATGTCTTGATATAGAGAATGAGCATTCTGTAGGAAGGCAACAGGGATCAAATACATTTAGTAGTGTTAGTGCATAGCATATAGTATTCTTCTTTGAAATAGCTACTGGGTTCATGGAATGGGCAAAACTCCTGAGTTACAAAAGTAAGTTACCTTTACTCAAAAGCTTATTTTCAAGTGAAGGAATATAGAAAACTAACTATGACAACCCAAGACAATAGAGCTTTAATATGGAATTATTGGAGGTGAGTATGCCAGTCTCTTAGAAAAAAATATCTAATCATGTCTGAGTTATTAACAGGAGGTTTTAAAAAGAGAGCACCTCCACTGTATATCAAATAAATTCAAAATTAATCAAAGTGTACAAAAAACTGAAGATAAGCATTTCAATGCTAAGAAGTCTGTTTAAAGATCTGACTACGTGTGACAACGTAGCAACTCTGGGAAACTAAAATTGGTTGATTACCACCATTGCAGTGATAGAGGGACACCATGGAGGGACTCAGAGGAGCATGTGGTGATGGCAAAGGAAAAACAACATTGAGACATGACAGATCCGAATATAAAGTTCAACTTGGCTAGTTGTGAGATATATTTCTGGGGCTGTTGTCTGTAAAATAACCCTTTCAGGTGCTTAAAGGATGATAAATGTAGTGCAATTAATCCAGGTATCTGAGAATATTTCTTCATTATAAAAATATTTATTGCCTTGCTACTATGTATAAGGTTCTATGGTCAATGTTTGGGATACAATAAATAATATTTTTCCCCTCCTTCCTCAAGGACTTTACTAACACATTGGAGAGAGAACCAAATACTCAGCAAGGTAAAATTTAGGGTGATAATTAAACTAGTCTTTAGGTGTGGGAAAAGTTAATGTAAAGGAGGTGGTTTATTTATATCTGTAGAACATAGCAACAGAGTGTAGAGGTTGGACCAAGGAAAAGAGACAGAAGTGGAGATTATTTTGCGCAAAGAAACAGTAGCTAAGAAAATGTGAAACTTTCGAGGAACTACAAGGTGTTTAGTATGGCTAAAAAAAATATAAACAGGGAGCTGGCACATAACAAAAGTGATACCAGAAAACCTTGTGAATTCTGATAAGGAGTTTGAATTTCATTCTAAGAACAGCTGGGAGCTATTGAATGTCATGAATTGCAAAAACATTGTCATCATATCTGGCTGCTAAAAAAGGCACTTTTCTGCAGTGTGGATAAATGTGATCAATAAGAGGAAGTGGGGTTGTAAACTATTGCACCAATGAAAAGAAGAAAACATGGTGGTATGAACTAGGGTAATGGAGTTTGGAATACAGATTTACCCGAAAATTGACGATAATGTTATTTGCTCAGTTGTTTATAGAGGAAGATAAACATAAACAGTCACTATGTTTGGGACAACTGTATAGAATGGGTTCACTAAGTACCTACGTGAAACTTGGGGAAGAACAAGTAGGGTGTAAAAAATAATAGCTTTACTTTGGATGTGTCTGAGAAACATTAAGCACAAGAAGGAAATATGAGAAACTGGAAATACAATAGTTTTCAGGAGTACAGTGATATGATCATAATAGCATTTTAGACTGCTATTATGCATAATAGCACTTTAGATTGCCAAAATGAAAAGAATGGTTTTGGAGAAGAAAAGTGACCCAAACAAGAAGTTTTAAGGTTTTAGATAAAGGGAGCAATAGAACAGTTGACTACAGATATAAAGATTGTTAATGAGGAACCAATGATACCATTTTGTGATGGGCTGAATATGATTCATAAGAGAGAAGAACAGATAAGGCTAAATATCACATTTTGATCTTGAGAAAACAAGGAGATGAAATGGATGAAGGGAAAGCTTGAGACAGAAGATGAGGCTTTCCCCTTTGGCTCTCATAGGTTTTACATACCCATGGGGCAGTAGGTAGTGGATGATTGTGATTGCCAAGGAGAACCCTGGGTAGAGATATACTGTGTTTAGTTACTATACTCTGTCAAAGCACATGCATAGGTGGAGGGTCAAGAAGACAACCTCAGACAGGATCAATATTTGAGCCTCAAGTCATCCTGATACTTAATGGTCAGTTAAAGGAGAAAACTAGTTGGTTGCATTGTGCCTTAGAAAACAAAGGTTCAGTGCATTTCCAAAGCAAATTAAAGGGCAAATGCAGAGAAAAATAATCAAAATGATGAATAAACACACAAAAAAAGATCATTGCATTGGGTAAATTAGAGGTCATTGGTGACCTTAGCAACACAATTGCATTGGACTAGTGGAAGGAGAATTTACATCGAAGCTTAGTAATACATTTAGCTATGAAGAGAGAATAAGGATGAAGAAGGCAGGAAAAGGTAGGGGAGAACAGAGAGAAGAGAGATAATGACAGACTTCTAAGTGACTAGAGTAATTGAACTTGTCTGTATTCTAAAACAAAAAATCAACATACAACATTGATGGGGTTAATTCAGTATGATATTTGAAATTCTGTAGTGAAAAAATTCCCACTTGTTTTACTTTGACATTCTCGCTACAGCAAATTGTGTTTAAGAGATAATTTTTTAACAAAATAATTATTTGTAATTATTCAGGTAGAAGTTAAGCCACTTTAACATATATAATTAATACAAGTTAATTGGCAAAATCATCTAACAAGACTACTTATTATATTAACAAGTAATTGCAACATAATTTGTCCTGTAATTTTCCCCTCTAAATGAAAACACATTTTAAATGGTCAGTGTGAAGGATTATCTATAGAAGATGTTTTAAGTAATTTAATACCGGCTACAGAATTTTACAGGCAGTGATAACTTTTGGGATACAACTCAGTATAGGTGGTTAAAAGTGATCATTTTGAACATAATGAACTCATGAGGAAACATCTTGCAGGACAAGAAAAAGAAAACATGATAGAGCTGTATAAATGCTTCTGGTATTATGGCAAAAAAGCTTTTATAAGTCAATATATGATGATATAAATTAACTAACTAATCAACTATATAAATAGGTGTTTACTCAGTCCTTTATTTCAAAATGTTTTCCTTTTATCCAAAAACTTACAGAATAAGATTCTACCTTGAGAAACACACATTTAAAACTAGATTTACACAGAATATGTATTACAACAGTTTCATATTTTTTCTTCAGGAAAAAGAATATGAGCGCCAATATTACAAAGGTTGATTTTTATTTTGAAGTAAATATAAATTGAAAATATGAATAAATCTTTATTTTCTTCTTTAAATAATTACTAAATTTCTTGTATTTCAAATCTGCTTTAATTTGCTTTCATACTAATATCCATGCACTTTCATTTAAAGAGCTATAAAAATCAGTTTCTCAAAGCTATATTCCAGGTACTGAAACAAATTAACATTAAAAAAAATCTTTCTTTGAAACACAAAAGTGAATGACTATTGGCTAAATATTACATTTGAAATCCAGAAAATCTAAATGTGGCTTAAAAACCTAAAAATCTATATGTAAAGAAATCAAATAAATAAAACCAACAAGATGTCAGGCCTCTGAGCCCCAGCTAAGCCATCATATCCCCTGTGACCTGAACATATACATGCAGATGGCCTGAAGCAACTGAAGAACCACAAAAGAGGTGAAAATAGTCAGTTCCTGCCTTCACTGATGACATTACACCATTGTGATTTGTTCCTGCCCTACCCTAACTGATCAATTGACCTTGTGGCATTCCTTCTCCTTGACAGTAACTCTCAGGAGCTCCCCACCGAGCACCTTGTGACCCCCGCCCCTGCCCACAAGAGAACAACACCTTTGACTGTAATTTTCCACTACCTACCCAAATCCTATAAAACTGCCCCACTCCTAACTCCCTTTGCGGACTCCTTTTTCGGTCTCAGTCCTCCTGCACCCAGGTGATTAAAAAGGTTTATTGCTCACACAAAGGCTGTTTGGTGGTCTCTTCATGTGGACACACATAACACAAGGCTGCATACTTACTTGCTATATAACCTTGGAAAATTCGTTAATATTTCTGTGCTTCAGCTTTCACATCTATAAAATAGAGGTAAAATTAGTGCTTTGTATAATTGTTTTAACAAATTACTCTCTTTCTTTCTCTTTCTGTTCCTTTCCTCCTCTCTCCCTCCTTCACTCTCTTCCTCTCTCCATCTCTCTTTCTTAAAAATTCCCTGGAAAATGGCATTTTGTCTAAGTAATAACTGTAATATACTATAAATCAACTATTATAATTTAAATTGGCTTTAAGTACATTTCTGTTACTAAGTCTGCATTATATTCAGTTTTATTCATGTTAACATTAAATTACTCTTTCAATTTAAAGGTGCTTTTTTCCATTTTACATAATTATAATCTCTTCAGTAATACCTTTACTTTAGCATTACAAATGGAAAGCAAAAACTATATGAACTCAGTCTACCTTAAATAAATAGCCATTAATTCTGTCATTTTAATACTTTAAAATAATTTTGAGTGCTTTTTTGATAAAACAAGCAAGAATTTTAAAATGTAAAAAGAATTGTATGCAAAATTTCCCAATATTATGATAATATTTCATAATTTAAAGATGTTGGCTGGGCACAGTGGCTTACACCTGTAATCCCAGCACTTTGGGAGGCCGAGGCGGGGGGATCACTTGAGGGCAGGAGTTTGAGACCAGCCTAGCCCAACATGGTGAAACCCAGTCTCTACTAAAAATACAAAAATTAGCTCAGTGTGGTGGCAATTGCCCATAATCCCAGCTATTCAGGACTCTGGGGCACAAGAATCGCTTGATCCCAGGAGGCAGAGGTTGCAGTGAGCAAAGAACAAGCCTCGGCAACAGAGCAAGACTGTCTCAAAAAAATAAAAATAAAGATTTAAAAAAAATTTTTTTTTAAATTTCAGTACCAAAATTAAATTAAACTTAAATTTAAATTTTAGTTTACATAAATTTAAATTTTAGTTTACATAAATTTAAAATACAATGTCAACTTACTGCATTTTAAGTGACTGTAAATGTTCTTTGTAATCAAAATAGTAAAGTAAAATGATACAGAAAATAACAATGTAGTTCTTCATTGTTTTACCATCTTTAATGAGTAATGAGAGCTCATTAAATTGCGTATATCAAAGTTGAATTTCAAAACCTAAAATTCTTGAAGTACCAGTGAAGGTGTGTGCATAAGCCTTTTAATGTGATAAAAGTAGGTACTATTATTCCCATTGAGTACTTTAGAAAATTGAAACTTTAAGTCAATAATAATTTTTCCATAGTTATATCGCTGAAATGTGACAGTCAGGATTACGAAAGCACTGGGTAAGTATAATAAGCCTCCCTACTTCAATTCCATGATCATGACACACTATTGAAATAGATCTTTCTTCTCTCTTTCTTAGTCACTATATATTGTTATGAGCCATGCTCCACACCTAACATATATTCCCATTTTAATTCTGGACTAAAATGCTTGTAGAATCAGATATTCAATATGAAAGCCTGTGATGTGCCAGAAATTTATAAAATATATAAGTGAGAAGAACCATGACACCTGCTTCTACTTCTCAAAAAAGATAAGTGATGACATTTGGGACCAAGTGAGAATCGCTTAGTAAATGTGAAAATTGTTCAATGTTGCTGGGAGAAGCTGTAAAAGGCATACATCAGTGCTGACTTTTGATAAGAATTAAGCCATCTACTTCAGTCTATGGATGTTTTCAAGGCTCTTCATATTTTCCATTGTTCATTTCAGTGGCTTGAAACAATATGAAAAATATATTGAGTCTTCAAGAAAGGTACATAAATCATACACACACACAAGAAATATACAAATAAAGGTATATAAAGGATATAACAAACAAATATTAAACAAAAAGGGATAGAGGTGCAATACTCAAAACCAGAGCAAATTAAAGATGTAAAGGTAAAAATTCTGTAGATAAAAATAAAAGGAACAATGCAATGTTGTAGATTGAAATAATTCACCAAGATGTAGACAGGATGGATTACAAAGAGAGACAGAGAGAGCAACAAAGTGTAATGATGATAATAATGTACTACATTATCTCATTGCTTGAGGGAAGGTAGAATTTGTTGACTTTTTCAATGTGTTATTTACCAAGGATATAATAGTTCAACTTCCAATAAGATACCTGGAAGCCAAGGAAGCCCATCAGTTCTGGTTGGAGAATTCATTACACTGCAAAACTCCAAACTAATAGCTTAAAAGACAAGGCAATAATAATTTGGATTTTAATACTGATGCATATTGCAATTGTATCTACATATTTTGATAATTCTATGAAATGGAGTAAGTTGATAAACAAGAACATATTACATTTTTTCTCTTACAGTTTTTAACATATTTGAGCAAATTGTTCTGGTTTCTTCACTTAGTTGACATAGATATTTTGTGTTATTAAAACTTAATGTTAATATCCAATAAATATTAATAATTAACAGTACAATGGTGTCAGTTAATATTAACATTTAATTACATGATATTAATATTCTGTTAGAATTAATATTTTATTTGTATTTTAAAGGGATACAAGCAGATATGTAGGAAAAAAAAAACCTAGGGGACTCTGTCAGGTTCACTTCTGTTTTTTGAATAATGTGATTTTTTTTCATTTAAAAAATTTTTGAAAGTTTTTTTTCCCCCTGGTTTTGATTATTAATAGAAATGTCATTTTAGAATCTAAGGCAAGTATCTGTTACTGAATGTAAAGAGTAAGCCACATGGTGAAACTTCAACAGAGCACAGAGATGATTAATAAGAAAAGGGTCTTTGGTGGAAATGTAAATTAATACAACCACTATGAAGAACCATATGGAGATTCCTCAAAAAACTAAAAATAGAAATATCATAGAATCCAGCAATTCCACTGCTAGGTATATACCCCAAGGAAAGGATATCAGTACATCAAAGGGATATCTGCACTTTCAGGTTTACTGCAGCACTATTCACAAGACCCAAGATTTGGAAGCAATCTTAAGTGTCCATCAATAGATGAATGGATAAAGAAAATGTAGCACAAACACACAGTGGAGTATTATTTAGCCATAAAAAATGAAATCCTGTTATTTGCAACAACATTAATAAAACTGGGGAGCATCATGTTAAGAGAAATAAGCTATGCACAGAAAAGACAAATTTTGCTTATTCTCACGCATTTGTGGGAGCTTAAAATGAAAGCAGTTGAACTCATGGAGATAGAGAGGGAAAGGATGATTACCAGAGGCAGGGAATGGTCATGTGGCAGTGGGGGGTGGGGGACGGGGTGGGGATTGGGGATGGATAATGGGTAGAAAAATATAGTTCAATAGAATAAGATCTAGTGTTTGATAGCAAAACAGGGTGACTATAGTGAACAATAATCTATTGCACATTTTAAAAGAACTAATAGGTACAATTGGGATGTTTGTAACACAAAGAAATAATAAATGCTTAAGGTGATAGATGATACCTTATTTACTCTAATGTGATTATTATGTGTTATGCCTGTGTCAAAATTCTTCATGTACCCTATAAATATATACACCTAACATGTTCTCACAGAAATAAAAAATGAAAAACAAAACATAAATATGAATTTTTTAAAAGCAAAAAAGGGGAAAAGTGCATAATTTGTGGAGTTTCAACTATGTTCTTTCCTTTTATAATTGTGTTGTAAAGAAAATAAATCCTTAGACTATGTACCTTTCATTAAAATTACTGTAACTCATTAACAAAAATTATATAAAGGCACACTCTATTTTTTTTTTTTTTTTCTGAGACAGAGTCTTGCTCTGTCGCCCAGGCTGGAGTGTGGTGACAAAATCTCTGCTCGCTTCAACCTCCAACTCCACCTCCCGGGTTCAAGTGATTCTCCTGTAAAGGCACACTCTTGAGTGAAATATATTCTATGTAAAGCCATATCATTTTAAATAAATATTTAATAATAGTATTTAATAATAGTAGTGATAGGGTATATAACTAAAATGCTTGGTATAATGTTTAGCTAACTACTAACTGAAGACATTAAGCAGAAACAGAGTATTCTAAGTGGTACTATATTAGCAGTCTTATATAGAGAATGAAATTATATAATTAGTGATATAATACTTCAAATATTTCAAGATTTTTATTGTTCTCAAATACATTGTCTCCTAAGAAGAAGAATTTTTGACAAATAGCAAAACCTATAATAAAGCCAGTTCTGGAGACTGGAGATATGTTTACTGTAAATGCTACTTGTAGTAGACTTCATTGGTGCCAACCCAGATTCCCTTTACTGAGCAGATGCACCTATTTCCTTAGCTGTTCTAATTATTAAGTGCTAATAATTTGCAGCTGCACTTTTTTCTGAACATTGTGCTCCATCCATAGAAGAACTTGACCTGGAAATTCCCAGGTGCAGCCTGAAACAATGGCTGCCTCTGGGGCACAAAAGGCTGCTCAGGGGAGCCCACAGCTTTGTCTATCCACCCCCCATCACTGTGCTGTCCTGATTCCTTCATTACCTTACAGTGTTTACCTGAGAGCACTCCCTCAATAGAGCCCAAGCAGTAGAATCTTTCAGGCCCTGTTCCTAAGGTCCTCAAACTAAGATAATCAGCAGATTATGTTTCTGGTGTGCTTGTAATTGTCCTATTTGAAAAAATATATAAATATAATTAAAGGATAAATCTCTAGCATAACTTTTGGCAATGTTCTGGATTAACATACATGCATATTTTAAAGTAAATCATTAGAGTTATCAAAGCAAAAATTGTTCTGTGAAAATTAAACAGATGAGGAAGATTTTATTCAAGGCTACCACAAAAGGGGAGAAAAGCCAGAATTCACAGGCTACAAAAGGCTGGAGAGTTTTTAAGATGTGGAGTGGATATCATAGACCACCTGTGTTTGCTAATTGACTATATCCAAATGAAAAATAAGCTATCTTCTATGCTGAAGGAGGTAGTTTTACAACTTGGAGCAAGCACATGTTGAAGTTAAGGTGCTACCATCCCACAGTAACTGGGAGATAAGAGCAATATTGTTCTTTCTTTCTTAAATAGTGTTGTATTTCATTTTATTGTGTATATTTAAGTTGTGTAATATAACATTTTGATATACATATACATCTTTCTCAGTGATTACATTTTAAAGACATAGCTTGCAGGCCCTTGAGAAAGACATTCCTGAGTTCTATAACTGGCAAGAAAATTAAAAGTATTTGCATCTCAAAAAGGCAGAGAAAACTTTATAATTACAAGTTTTATAAAGCAAATGCTCTAAGAAAAGGGAGTCAGGAGGAAGAGTGTCTAAAGCTTAGTCAGACTGAGGGGAATGTTAAGTACCTCTTTTTCTTAGTATTTGAAACACTTACAGTGTATTACACAGGATAATCCATAATAATTTCTTTTTGCCTTTCTAGCTAGTCTAAGCTGTATTGGCTGTATCAATGAACTCTTTTATCCTTCTGCTTCCTTTGGGTTTAGTCAATCTTATTTAGTAAAAGATTAGCATAGGAGGAAGGTGGGTGAAGTAAAAATATTTATTTTCTCAGCTCTCTGCTTGCTGATTTGCTGTGGGTTGGCTGTCTCTCTCTCTAAAGACCATAATTTCATTCATAGTACCCTCACTCTACCCGAACCTTCTTCATGTTTTCAAATCTGATATCCTTTTGTTTCTTCATATCTGGAAGAGGGAATGGCTTCCTACTATTGCTAACCTCAGGGTACTTCATATCCCTTGTTGGTTTCCTTAAATCCTGAAAACATTTGTGTGGTTAATAGAGAATGTATTAAGGGCTACACAAATTACACAGTTTGGGAAAGTCATTTGTTTGCCAATATACATCTAAACAGCAGAGCTGGAGGTTCCAAGTTGGAATGATATACAGATATAACTGAAAAATAATTACAGCCAGATTTAACTTATTAGTTTTGTTGTTGATTTTTTGTTCCTTTTGTTTTTAATTGGGTAATATAATGCTCTAAATACCTCTTGACTAGAGTACTGAGGATACATTTTGTCTTATAAAATTTTAGTTGTGTAAAATTTTGTATTTTAATATTTACATAAATGAATTTATTTTACATAATCATTAAAGTCTGATAGCAATTACTGAGAACTGACAATATTACAATGAATTTAGATTATTTTTCTATTAGAATGAGTTTTGAACAGACATTTCTATGAAAGGAAAGATAAAATTTCTGAAATTTAGCATGCAAATGTCTCTGACCTGAAATGTGCTTTATGAAGATTACAGTTGGAAAGAGAGTAGGCATCCAGGACGATGAGAGGAGAAACAGTATTTGTTGGTTTTGATTTATTTTATATTTATGGTAAATGAATCTCTTAAATTGTAAAGAATTTTTTTTTGGCCAAACATTAAATCACAATCAAGCCATCATGACTATCTCATTCATTATTATATAACTAAAACATTCTATATGAAACAGACGGTTATCTAAATTTTTAGTTTGGGCCTTAAATGAAGAAAAAAGGTGCAATTCTTAGAATGCTGTACGTTTTAATAGGTACTATGCAGCTGTGATTAGTCATAGGCTAAATGCTGCCTCGGGAGGGTTGCATAATAAGTCTTTTATTCCTCATGTGTGAATCATGAATATTCTGTTCAATGCCTTCATTGTGTAAAGAACTTTAGAAAGTAATGGATAGATTCTGTCATACTGTATAAACATTCCTAGCTAGTAAGTACTGAGAACTGCATTCCCAGAGTTTTAACAACTTACAGAAAAGTGAATTGAATTTCTGAAGCCTGGGAAATGATAAGAGAGAGGTGAAAGAGAGATAGTGTGCTAATGACCCTAGAGAGTTTGAAAAACGTTATGGTCAGGTCTTTTGAGAGAATCTCCTAAAAGGAGATAATGGGCATGGCTGAATCTGTAAAGAAAGTATCTTGCTATCAAGTGCCTGAGAGCATGGCAATCAAGAACCAGCGGCAGTCAGCCAGAACCTGCCCCTGAGTAAGTTATTCAATTCCTTCAGAGTGAGGCTCTGCCTACACTATCAGAAATGAATTAGCCAGTGCCACTTTCCTTCCTCCCTCTCCCCACTAAAACTAACAGATTTATTATTTTTTGTTATGTATAAGTGTTAAACTCATGCATTGTGAAAGATATATAAAGAGAGTTTCATGAAATTATCTGACAATGTATTTGGGAAAAGAAACATCAGATTTCATGACTCTTTACCACTGTAAATTTACAGCTCTTTGACCTGTTTAATTAATAACTTTAAATCCACATTTTTTTATTTCTTCTTCATTTCTGTTACGCATCAAAATGCTCTTGCTTTAGGTACTGCTATCACCCTCAATTATGTCCTGCTTAATATCCCAATCTTATGAATTAATCAATGCTGATATTCCTATTTTCCCTGCCTTTTTATGCCAAATGTATTTTTATTTTCCCGTGTCTTACTCTCAATCTTTGATTTTTCTCCCTGTTAATGATATTCTCCCTATATAAAGCAAATCCTATAGTCAACCAACCACACTCTTAGAAGTGTCATGTATATTTCCCCTCATCTCTTAATAGATGCTTAAGCTTCCAATATAATATTAAAAGTGAGAAATGGCATGTGAAATTCTTGACTATCCTTCTTATGACTTAAGAGAATTTCCTCTTTGCTCTTAATTTTCTTCTTGTCTCTGCCTCAAAAATAAATACCTTTATTTATGAGTGATAACAGTGCCAACATTAAGGAGAATGTATGAAGGAGTTGTAGACTTTCAATAACCAACTGGTATTCATTTAGTTCTTCATAAAATACCATTCAAAGGTAGTTTCATATTATCTTGTGATTTCTTATAAACATTCTGGTCCTATTGTATTGCAAAACTAAAATCTCCACTTTGGATCATTTACTTCACGTTTGTCTTTCTTCCTTCTTTCTCTTTATTGTCTGCTTCTACATGAACTGTATATACATATTGATATCACCTTTTTTTAAGGAATGCTGAACTGAGTTTTCTCTTCAAACTGCCAGTAACTATTGAACAAAATAATTGGAAGATCTAACCTTTAACTTCTCTATTTCTTTTCATAATGTCTCTTAAGTTCCTAGCATCCAGGGTTCGATATTTATCATTCTTTTTGTTTTGTTTTGTTTTGAGGCAGAGTCTTGCTCTGTCCCCCAGGCTGGAGTGCTATGACACAATCTCGGCTCACAGAAACCTCTGCCTCCCAGACTCTGGTGGTCCTCTCGCCTCAGCCTCCTGCCTCAGTCTCCGGCCTCAGCTCCCCGAGTAGCTATAGGTTTGTACCACCACACCCTGATAATTTTTGTATGTTTCTAGAGAGGGATCTCACCATGTTCCTCAGGATATTTTGAGACTCCTGGGTTCAAGCAATCCACAAGACAGGGCCTCCCAAAGTGCTGGGATTACAGGTGTGAGCCACCCCACTTGGCTCATATTCATCATTTTTATAGGACTGGTTTCTCAGAACTCACCTTGTTTTCTTGTTTTATTTTGTTTGTTTATTTGATTTGAATTTTTTTTTTTAACAGAGTTTCGCTCTGTCTCCTGGGCTGAAGTGCATGGAAAGCAGTGGCGTGATATCAGATCACTGCAAACTCCACTTCCCAGGTTCAAGTGATTCTCTAGCCTCGAACTCCCGAGGAGCTAGGACTACAGGCGCCACACCACCACAACAGGCTAATTTTTGTATTTTTAGTAGAGATGGGGTTTTGCCATGTTGGCCAGACTGATCTTAAATTCCTGACCTCAGATGATTCAACTGCTCAGCCCCCCAAAGTGCTGGGATTACAGGCATGTGCCACTGTGCCTGGCCTGAATTGAAATTTTTATTGAGTAATTGTAGGTTCACATACACTTGTAAGAAATAATACAGAGAGATTCCTCGTGTATTTTGTCCAGTTTTTCTCAATAGAAACATTTTACAAAACTATATTATATGACAGACAGATATAGATATTGATATAATCCACAAATTCTATGCAAATTTCCCCGTTTTATTTATATGTAGTTGTGTGTGTGTGTGTGTGTTAAGCTTGATACAATTTTATCATCTGTGTAGATTCTGTATCCATCATCATGGAAAAGATACTGAATATTTCCAGCAAAGCAAAATTCCCTCTTTTAACAGCCACACCCATTTCCCTCCTGCATCTTGCTCCTGTCCATAACACCTGGCAACAACAGGTTCTACTGCGTTCTTTTTTATTTGAACAAGAATCTTCCTGGATGAAAGTCTTCTTGGATCTTCTTGGGGATTTACTCCTGACTGTAAAGTAGGAAATTCCTTGCTCTTTCATGAGGCCTCTACTTTTCCTGGTTCAGTTTCTGTAGATTGTATAGAGCAGGTCCTTCAGTACCACAATCAGTACCACAACAAGGATTGTGTGAGAGACTCCTTTACTCCCAGTCAGGATTGTGCATGGAACTTTCTAGAAAAATTTTTTTCTCCTTTGCTTCTTTTCAACTAAATTGTCCTCTTCCTTCAAGTGGTAACTCTCAATCTACTTGATGTTCAGCATCTTTTATATTTGTTGCCTATATGCTCTGCTGTTCTGGCACTAATTCTGTCTAATGTCTTTAAAATGGCAAAAATTTACAGAGGATATTTTGAAACTTTAATAATCTGTTTAGGAAATTTGAGATCTTCCCTAACTGGTTCATCTAAACCTCTGCCTTCTCACCATCCCTGTTCCTCCTTCCTCCTTTGTAACCACCTTTGACTTTCCCTTTAGGTCCCTGAATCTCTTGATCTGTTCTCCTTCAGTATCTCTACCTCCTTCACACATCTAGCCACCCTTGACAGACTTTTCTCCTCTCAGTCCAGGTCCTTAGCTGCCTAAGTCACTAGAACTTTGTGCATCCTGCCCACATTAAGGAATTTTGGGAACCCAGGGATTCCCAGAGCAGCCACCTGTAGCCGAAAAAAAAATCATTTGAAATAGATTGCATATTTTATCCACTCTGATGAATAGTGGAGATAACCATATGGTCATGTGGTGTCATCCAAACCATAAGATTACATATAAGGGCAGAGAAGGTCTTAAGTTTCCTCCACAAACATTGGTGAGCCAACTCTGTTATATAACCAATGTCTCCTGTATTTTTGTATTTATATCTGACTCATTCATAGCTTAAATTTTAGAATTAAAGCTATCACCTTGTGTCTGTCTTTATGTTCACCTGTATATGTATGTATTAATGTATGTATGCATATATTTATCTGATATAAGTGTGATATTTTCTTAGCTCTGAATGGCAGTACCAAATTAGCTTGTAAAATTCCTAAGGTTGCTCTAGTCTAATGGGTTAAAGGTACATAAATACTTATCTAAACTGAATATTACTCGAACTCTCAGAAATTAAATAAAACACTGAACTTCTAATACTTTCAATGTGAAAAAATACTATTATAAAACTTACCCAAATATTTCAAAAATCCAAGTTCACATTAATATAATCTTTGGCAAAAGTCTAATATTATTGGTTTAATATAAATAGCTATGTGTTCTGAATTTTCAATATTAAGTATAAAATAAACATATTTTTATTCTACTTGAGAGTATGCTTTCTAAACTTATACACGTACTTTTTTGTCAGAGTTTAAACATGTAACATCTTCATTTATGGTAATTTCATCTCATAGTTATTATTCCTGACCCATTGAATTGATCATAACAGAAAATCAGTGAGTCGATATAGTGTCAACCAAGGTGGCAGTCTTATTCCTGATACATTTGAAAATAGTCCAAAATTCACCATTCAGCACTATACAATTAGTTCATTTCTGAAAGAAATAATGCTATTTATGGAGAACTCTTCTTTTAAAATATAAAAACACAAAAAATAAAGTCCGTGCATTTGTAGGTAGATTCTTCAGTAAATATTCATGCTTGCATATTACACTATAAAAAGAAGTTTTGGTTCTTAACTGCAAGATTTGTAGGTTACGAGTACCTTCAATTTATGTAAAATAACATAAAAAGACCAAAAGAAAGAGATAACAGGAAATCATCACTGTTTTCTATTTGTCTAATGTTGGATAAAGAAATAACTAAAAAGGAGTTATACAGGGAAAAGTATACTTTATACGTAAGGAGATATTTCAGTTTCACTGTCAATATCTCTTGAACCTGAATTTTTCCCACAAGAACAAGCATTATACTAGGTGTTAGCCATTATCAAAATATAAATATACATTTAACAAAATGGAGTCACTATTCTGACAAACTTTGTTTCAACATAATTATGTACAATATGTCATTAATATGTCACCTTAAGGACAGTTTTCAAACCTTTTATTAACTTAAAACCCTAGACTTCAGGTAAATTAAGGTACTCAAGGTAGGCAGAGAGAGAGAGAGAGAGAGAGAGAGAGAGAGAGTGTGTGTGTGTGTGTGTGTGTTTAAAGGAAAAAAGACTAATTTCATCATAAAATACAGTGAGTTGTTGTTCCAGAATTTTTTAAAAATAAAAAGATATAAGATAAAACTTAAATTAACATAAAAAGTTACTAAGGTTTCACAGAAATGGAATTTTATTTGTCGTGGTCAAAGCTGGTAATGGGCTTATTTATGAGATTAAAACAACTTTAATATTAAATAATGCACTGATACAAAACCAGAATTTGGTTTTCCTGCTGTTAAGATGTTATTGGATTATTGGTCTACTACTAAAAAGAAGTTGTAGAAATGTTTGTTTTTTTAACCTTCTACTTAATCTGCCTAAAAGGCAGAGATTCTGTTTGATCAGAATTGTTTTTTATTCTTTATGTTGACTTTATCATGTCCTTGATTTTTTTTTAAAGTCTTCTAACTTTTACAAGAGTGAGCTTTTTTTTAATAATCATATTACCTCACATGCTTACTTTTAAAACAGTTTATTGTCAATGTGACTAAATATGTAGCCAAGGCTGGGCACTGTGGCTCACGCCTGTAATCCCAACACTTTGGGAGGCCAAGGAGGGCAGATCATGGGGTCATGAGTTCAAGACCAGCCTGGCCAACATGGTGAAACCCCGTCTCTACTAAAAATACAAAAAATTAGCTGGACGTAGTGGCGGGCACCTGTAATCCCAGCTACTTGGGAGGCTGAGGCAGGAGAATCACTTGAACCCTGGAGGTGGAGGTTGCAGTGAGCCGAGATCACGCCACTGCACTCCAGCCTGGGCGACAGAGTGAGAGTCAGTTTCAAAAAATAATAATAATAAATATATATATATATATATATAGGTAGCCAAGTATAGGCCAAGTATAGGTTCTCAGTGACCTATGATCTTATTTAACCAAATGTTCAAACTTCTGGAAAACTTTGGACATTTTGCCTTCCCCAAATTAAATACTGAATGACAACTTTTACACATAAATCTAACTTTTGTATTTCCTAGAGGACCCCAGGAAAATCACAAATGATTTGTTCTTTCACCTTCTAAAAATAGTGGTGCTAAAAAATAGTTTGATTTACTTAATACTATACAAATTACATAGGATGTGTTGTCAAAAAGGATGATTAACCTCTATATCAAATTTCTATTGTTAAAATATTCTTATTTTTAATATAATATTTAAAATACTAATATATTAAAACATTTACAATTCCTAGGGTTTTTACAACACCCTCATTGTCCATAATATGTTTCTATTTATCAGAGCCTTAATTTTGCCGTATCTGACATTAAGACAACAATGCAATGTTATTGGTCAGAATATCAATTACTTCTTTAAATGCTAAATTGACCATAATTACACTTCTTTAATTTAAATACAACATAGTCTAGGCCAGCAATTTACAATTGGGTATTTATCACTTATCTATGAATTTTTATTATACAGATATTTAAGACCTTTTTTTTCAAATTTGCAGTTAGATTTTATCCAGTTCCTTAAATATCATAGTTATAAATATGTTTTTCATTTCATCTGCATGTTCTCTCACTGCCTGGAAACTATCACTTTTAGAGGGACCAATGCTGTTTTTAAGTTGCTAAACTTTTATCAAAGAAAGTATTCCTCACATGATTAATTCTCTTTCACCAGTAAAACCATCCAATAAATTTGAGTTTTTTCTTCATGCCAAAAACTGCATTGTCCTCATAATCCCCAGTCACATGAAATAATAATGAGTGCTAATAGATTGTTACAGTTAAAACTTTATAAACTGACACAAAAACTCAATCTTTATAACCCAAGTTTTTATCTTTAGTCCTGATTGCTCTTCTGTCCTTTCCTGCTGGGTCACAGCAACTGCTCCATAAAAAATAACAGAAGGCTGACCCATAAAATTTTGGCCAATTCAGATATTCTAAAATGCTTCAAGGAAGTGATTAATTACCTGCATATTTGTCACCAACAGATTGAGGCTGCTTTTCCTCCAGTAGTAGAGACCTTGTTCTTTACAAGCCATATCACAAGGAAACTAATCTTAAATCCTGTGGGAAGAGCTTTCACATTGTATGCCTTACTACCAATACTGCTGCCAAACTCCAGAGGCTTCAATCCTAGACCCGTGTGCCGTAGTCAGAAATGATCATTGTGCATATATTTCCCAAAATATCTCTGATGACTCTGCCATCGCCAAAAATATTCAGACAGCTAACTGAAAAATATATTGGCTTGCCACTGTCATCCTCATTCTATCATCCTCACTCAATTTAAATTTGCGCTCCATATTCTAGAAGCCTTTCAACAGCCTGCCTTCAAAACTCTACAGTTGTTTCTATTACTTTATTCAACTTTTAATAATAGTTCTGTTTATTAAATCTCTAGGTATACCTTTCATTAAATGCCTAACTTCCTCAAATGCTCCAGGAAGATAGCAAAGTCAACAGATGATACAGCTAGTCTTTGAAAGCCAACAAGAACATGAAGGCCAGCTCACCCCCTGAAAACCACTTGGTTCAATCCCAACCTCACAATGACTCTTATTTCATCTCTAGTAACATTTAAGAACTGACCTTGTCAGTCTAAAACAATGGGGAGAACTAACCAAGTGTTTACAACAGCCCATTTCTTATCTCCTGTTTGTCCTAACCAAACTATAGTCAACATTATGGCCTCCCTATATGCACCTGAACTGTACTTCTTTCCAAGACTGAGCGAGTTCTAAAAAGGGAAACATGTCCCACCATTAATTTATTCTAATTGGCTGATTACTGCCAGGCACATTGTCAGATCTTGGTAGTCGTTTCCCGTTGCTTGCCCCCTTCCCCTTAAAAGTTTCTGCTGAGCTCTGCTTACCTCCTACACTATTAAAAAGGGTATTTTTCTATTTGTTTTTGAGATGCTTGAAGTTCCCGGCTTCAGCATATTTTCCTATTGCACTAGTCTTTCCAAATAAAGTCTCCCTTTGTACACTCCAGATTTGCTTTTATGTAATACTAGCACAAACATTCATATACAGGTTTTCGTATGAACATAAGTTTTTATTTTTTTTCTGGGAAAAATGCCCAAGAGTGCAATTGCTGGGTCATATGGTAATTGAATGTTTGCTTTTATAAGGAACCAAAAAAACTGTTTTCCAGAGTAACTGTAGCATTTTATATTTCCATCAGCAGTTTCAATTCAGTTTCAATTTATCCCCAGTTTCAACTCATCCTCACCAGCATTTGATATTTTTACTATTTTTGTTAATTTAGCCATTCTGATCCATGTATATCATATCTCAATGGGGTTTAATTTGCATTTCATGACGGTTCATCATATTGAATATCTTTTTATTGTTGTTGTTTTTTGTTTGTTTTTCTTGAGACAGAGTCTCGCTCTGTCACCCAGGCTTGAGTGCAGTGGTGCAATTGAACATCTTTTAGTTTGTTTTTTTCCATTTGCATCTCTGTTTCTATGAAATGCCAGTTCATGCCTTTTGCTTATTCTCTAATTGGTGTGTTTTATTACTGTTGGAATGTTAGAGCCCTTTATATATTCTAACTACAATATCTGTATCCTTTGATGGATATGTGACATGTCAATATATTCTTCTTCACATGTGAATTTACAGAGCAAAAGTGTTTGATTTTGGTTAAGTCCAATTGATCTTTTATTTTCTTTTTCATTTATGTTGAGCTGTGGTATCAATTCTAAGATAAATTTACACAGTCCTAGAACTCAAAGACTTTTTCTAAAAGTTTTACAATTTTATGTTTTACATTTAAGTCTCTCATTCATTTTGATTGAATTTTATATAAAGCATGAATTACAGGTTGACATTCATTTTTTGGGGTTATGAATATTCAACTATTTCAGCAACATTTGGTGAAAAGTTTATACTTCCATTAAATAATGTTTCCATCTTTGTCATAAATAAATAGAACATGATTATGCAATTTTCTTTCTGGGTTATTTATTCTGTTGCATTGTTCTACATGTATATGCCTCTAACAATACTTCAGTGTTTTGACTTCTATAGCTATGTCCAGTTTTGTGATTTCTCTCATGTTATTCACCTTTGTCATGCTGCGGACTGTAACTTCCATACAAACTTTATAATTATCTTGTTGATGGCTTCAAAAACTTTTGGCTAGAATTTTGATATCAATTGTATTACTCTTACAGATAATTTAATGGAGAACTGGCATCACTACTTGATCGAGTCTTCCAGCTCCTGAACACAGTATGTCTCTCCACTTATTATGGTCTTCTTTGATTTCTTTCATCATCATTTTGTAATTGTCAGCATATCAATCTCATCTATGTTAATTTTATATTTAAGTAATTGTGTTTGGAAGGATTATAAATAGCATGACATTTTTAAAATTCAGTTTCTGTAGAGTCATTATTATGTAGAAATGTGAATAGTTTTTTATTTGTTTTGTTTTGGTCTTGTGTCCTATGACCTTGCAGAGAACTCACTTATTAATGTTTTGTTGACATTTGAGGTCTTCTATGTAAAAAATCATATTGTCTGCAAATAGAGATAATTTTATTTTTTTCTCTCCTAATCTGTGTGCACTAAATTGTTATTAATATTTTTGATTACTTCAGAGGCTAGACCTTTTACTCTTATGTTGAATAAGACTGGTGCCTTGCTCCCTATCTTAGGTTGATGTTAAATGTGGGGTTTTGTTTTTATGTTTGTTTTAGATGCCCTTTTCCAAGCCAAGATAGTACTCCACTAATTCTAATTTACTGCAAGTCTCTAGCATAAAAGGATGTTGGATTTTGTCAAGTGCTTTTTGTGATTCCATTGATATGATCATGTACTTTTTATTATTTAGCTTGTTGCTATGGTGGATTACATTGATAGATTTTTTAATGTTGAACCACCTTTGCAGACAAGGATAAATCCCACATAGTAGCATTGTATAACTCCTCCTATATATTTTCACGTTTGGCTTGCCAGTATTTTGTTGAGGGTTTTGTGGCTAAGTGCAGGATAGAAATTTGTCTATAGTTTTATTTTCCGCTACTCTTTTTGTGTTGATATCTGGATAATACTGGCCTGCTATAATGAGTTGGGGAGCATTTCCTTCTCATCTATGTTCTTGATTAAACAGTTACAATTGGTGTTAATTCTTGGTTTAATGTTTGTTATCTCCAGTGATAACATTGGATCCTGAAAATCCTTTTCTTCTGGTGTTTTTTAACTACTAACTTCTTACTTTTAGTGGTTATAGGGTGTTCAATTGTCTATTACATTTTGGTTGACTTTTTAGTAGTTGGTGATTTTCAAGAAATTGTTCCATTTCTTCTAATCTGTCAAATGTATGAGTGTATAGTTGTTAATAGAATTCTCTAAACACTTTTTTAATGGCTGCAGGATCAATAGTGGTGTCCTGTATTTCGTTGCTGATATTGATAATTTGGCTTCCTCTCTCTCTCTCTTCCTCTCTCTCTCTGTCAGTCTCATTGGAGATATATTAATTTTATGAATTTCTTTGAAAAGATATATTGATTCATTGTTTTTCTGTAATGTTTTACTAATTTTCTAGTTCCCTGAGGAACTGAAATTATTGACTCAAGAGCTTTTCACATTTTAATGTAAGCATTTAGTGCTATATATTTTTCTCTCAGCATTCCTCATATTTTGCCATATTGTGTTTTTATTTTCATTCAGTTATATGAATCATTTAAAATTTTATTGAAAACCTTTCTCTGACACATGACACATGGATCATTTTGTAGTTTATTTTCTACGATTAGTTTATTTATGTATTTTTTTCCTTCTGTTATTTTGTGTTTTAGTCGGATTTTATTATGGTCACAGAACACACTGGGTATTTCATTTCATTTCTTTTAAATCTGTTGAGGACTATTTTATGGCCCAGGATATGTTCTATCTTAAGGTCCCATAAACCTGTGAAAAAAAATAGTCTGCTGTTATTGGGTGAACTGTTCCATATATGTCAAATATGTCCTGTTAGTGGATTGCATTATTCAGATGTTTCATAACCTTTTTGCATGTTTCTAGAAGCTCTATTCATTGCTGACGTGGAGAGGGTATATTAAAGTCCCCAAATATACTCGTGAACTCGTATTTTTTTTTTTAGCTGTCTCAGTTTTACTTCATGTATTTTGAGGCTCTGTTTTGTGATACATGTACACTTAGGATTGTTATTTATTCCTGATACGTTGATCCTTTTAATATTACATAATGTTCATCTTCATCTCTGGTAATTTTAATACTTGATGACCTATTAACATTTGATTATACATACTTTATACCTGTAATATTGTATATTAGCGTATAGTTGGATTGTATTTTTAACCAGCTCTACCAAACTTTGAATGGTATATTTAGATCACTCACACCTAATGTAATTATTGATCTGTTATCAATCAAGTGTGCCATTTTATTATTTGTTTTATATTTACTTCCTCTGATTCTTACTCCTTTGTTTCTTTTTCTTACCCTCCTATAGGTTACTTGAATATTATTTTAAAAAGTCTTGGTTTATTTAAGTAATTTTGAATGTATATCTGTATAGTTTTTCACAGTTTTATATTAGTTGTGATTTTTTTATTAATACATATACTGTAATATACATATGTGAATTACAGTATACTGGTATTGACTTTTTACCACATTGAGTGAAATGTTGCAACTTCACTTCCATTTAGGTTGTTTTACCTTCTCCCCTTTTAAATATCATTGTGTATCAGATAGTGTTATAATTTTTTCTTTCAATTATCAAATACAATATATAAACACATGAGGGAAATTAGAATCTCTTATATATGCCCATATGTCTGCTCTTTCCTTTATTCCTTTTGCTACCTGATGTTTCAAGATTCTTTCTCTTAACTTTTTACTCCTGTTTAAAGAATTTATTTTAGACAATCTTTAAAGATAGGTCTGCTAACAACATTTTATTTTAAATTTTCTTTGTCCCAAAATGTTTTTATTTGTTCTGCTAACAATATTTTTTTAATATTCTTTGTCCTAAAATGTTTTATTTTCTTTTCATTCCTGAAGGCTAGTCATGCCAGTTACAGAATTTCAGTTCACAGTCTTTCAACACTTAAAACATGTTGTAATACTTCCTTCTTGCCTCTATGGTTTCAGATGAGCAAGTTATAGTCATCCAAATTGGATTTTTTTATAGGCAATGTTTCCTTTTTCTGGATGTTTTCAAGTTATTTTCTTTATCTATAATTTTCACAGTTATTTCATGACATGGCATGGATATCTCTTGAGGTTCACTCAGCTTATTGGATTCATCTGCTTGTGTCTTGCAGCAAGTTTGAGAAGGTTTCAGGCACTACTGTAGTCCTTTTCACTTTTCATGGTTTCCATTTTCTGCAGTAAAATGGTTAGAAAATATTAAATGGAGAACTCCAGAAATAATTTATAAGCTTGCCATTCTGAGTGGAGTGATTACATTTCATGTTCTTGTGCTCTGACCTATCTGAGACATGAATCATTCCTCCATCCAGCATATCCATGGTGTATATGCTATCCACCTGTTAGTGACTTCATAGCTATTTTGTTTATCAGATCCACTGTCATGGTATCACAGTGCTTGTGTTCAAGTAACCCTTATTTTACTTAATAATGACCTCTAAGTGCAAGAAAAATGATAGTAGCAATTTGGTTATTCCAAAGAAAAACAGTGAAGTGCTTCTTTAAAATTCTCAACTTAATAAAAGAAACTTATATGCTGATGTTGCTAAAATTTATGGGAAGAACACATTTTATATCTGTAAAATCATTAAGAAGGAATAATAATTTGCCAGTTTTGTTGTTGTACCTCAAACTGCAAAAGTTATAGCCACAGTGCATGATAAGAGCTTAGGAAGATGAAACAAGCATTCAAGTTTTGGGTAGAAGACATAAGCAGAAACATGATTCAATTAATGGCAATTGAGATCAATACCATTAATGGTTTCAGGCATCCACTGGGAATGTTGCAACAAATTTCCCACAGATAAGGGGGAGGTTACTATATTTCTTCAAATAATTCTTTTAGCTGTAATCTTTTTCTCCTTTCTCCTCTGTATGCCAATTATGTTTATGTTAGTTTTTTTATTATCTCACAAGTCCACATGATGCTGTTCTTTATTATTATTAGTAGTAGTGGTAGTAGTCTGTTTTTTCTCTGGTGTTCAGATAAGGTAAATTCATTGTCTTACCTTCAATTACACTAATGCTATTGTTGCCTCCACTCCACTCTTCTATTAGGTCCATTCACTTTTGTATTTCCTTTACTGTGTTTTCTAGTTCTTTGAGAGTGTTTTTTAATTTTTATTTTTTAATAGTTTTATTTTAAATTTGGTTCAAAAATTATTAATTGGATGTGGAAACATCTTTATGATGGCTCCTTTAACATATTTGTCAGATAACTGAAACATCTGTATCACCACCACATTGGCATCGACAGTTTTTTCCCATTCAATTTGTGATTTCCTAAGTTCTTAATATAAGGAGTGATTTTCAATTTTATTCTGAATTTTGTCTATTATGTAAGAAGACTCTAGTTTCTATTAAAATATTTTACTTCATAATGCAGTTAGTCCTATTTTAGTTTTGGCATGCAAGTCTTGGCCTAATTTTATGGCAATTTAATTTTCCCAACATTTGGGATTTTATTTGGGGCTGCTTGGTTCATCTGGTGTGACTCTTGCTACCTTAAAAAGTGGAAGACCTGGCTGGGTGCAGTGGCTCACGCCTGTAATCCCAGCACTTTGGGAGGCCGAGGCAGGCGGATCACCTGAAGTCGAGAGTTCGAGACCAGCTTGACCAACATGGATAAACCCCACCTTTAGTAAAAATACAAAATTAGCCGGGCGTGGTGGAGTATGCCTGTAATCCCAGCTACTCTGGAGGCTGAAGCAGAAGAATCGCTTGAACCCGGAAGGTGGAGGTTGCAGTAAACCAAGATTGTGCCATTGCACTCCATCCTGGTCAATAAGAGTGAAATTCCATCTAAAAAAAAAAAAAAAGAAAATGGAAGACCTTTCTCCAGTTCAGGATGCTAGATTTCTCTTGGTAGGAGCAAGGTGTTGTGGGGTCCCTCACGGGTGTCCCCTGGATGTCCCTGTGTTTCCGGGTAGGAGAATCCTAGGCCCAAAGGAATAAAGAAGCTGTCCAGTCTAAGTCACTAGCTAAAAATTGCTTTCCTTTTTTTTATTCTGCCTGCCTGTCCCAATGTCTGTGGGTGAAGGGTATCAGTTCATAGAGACAAGAAGCTTCCCAGACTGTGCTTCCTGTTACAGCTGTTTGTCTTGCTTGTTCTGCCTGTTCACCTCAGTATCTCTTGGCAGAACATGGGAGGTTCACGTTTTGTGGGAAAATATATTATTTCACATGAACACTTATAAAAATAAGTGAAACTTCCAATTAATCCACCTTCCCTGTAGTGTTGTATTCACCTGGTATTTCCAGAAGGACTCACATTCATTCCAGGAGAGGAATGAGCCTATAGCTGCCTTCTGATGCTAAAGCAGTGGTTGGAAAACAGTGGGTCTCAGTGGCCTTCTTCTGATGGGTCAGGGGATGCAACCTGCACTACTCCTCCACTTTTTGGGTCTACAACCAGTTGGCCTTCACTTTACATTTTAAAAGGTGCTAAATGCCTTTTAGAATTTTTCTTTTATCTTATACATTTCCTGGGTTTATAATTGTGCATATTTCCTGGGTTTTAATTGTGCTTAGCAAGTAAGAGAAGAAAATAGGAGTGTGCATAGTCTGGGCTGAAGTCTTCATCATGACTTTTTAATTTAAATAGTGTCTCTTAATTCATGTTTTTAAAAAATGTGTTTATACACATGGTACCAAATTTTACAAAATGTTTTTGCATTACTTTCTTCTTTAAAAGATATATCTTGGACTTGTTATCAGTAAATGCAAAGCTAACATGATGATCAATAACTTAATAATATTAAGTATTTTGATATAATTTATGTAACCTGTATCTTCTGCTGGGCATTTCGGTTTTGACACAATTTGATATTACAAATAATAAAGCATTGACTATTTCACCAAGATCAAAATGGTCTAAAAATTTACCTTAATCTCAAATTTACAATTTATCATGCCACAGTTTTGTGGATGCTAACAAAACATATGAGACTCTTGTGCTATAGACAAAAACCATATTACCCCTAGCACAAGCAGTAGCTGGAGAATTGATATTTGCACTGATTTCCAAAGCCCCAGTGATTAAAGAGGGAAAAGTGATGCCTGCACACTCAGGGGTTGATATCACAGGAGAACTCAGAGTTTAAGCCCTGGGCAGTAAGTTTGCCTGAATTTTGCCCCAGAGAGAGATATTATTATTATTTGACTGTATAGTAAATAAACCTACCATTTCTCTGGAGTGAGATATTATTTCTATTTTCCAAAGACATTTACTGTATAAAAGTTTTTGAAAAGGTTCTAGAACAAAGAGGATTCAAACAAAGACTGTTAATGCTGCTTCTCACAGAAATGCACACCCACAGAGACCTATGCAGAATCGCCTGTTGATATGTTCAAATTCAAATGTCACTTCACACATATGTGTTTTTGACTGGAGAATACATTTTCAGGATTTTATAAACTTTCCAAACTCTTAGATGAAGGTATATAATTTCTAATATCTCCAGGAATGTTGTTTCTTGAAACTCACTCCAATTCAGTGATTTACACAATGTTTAATATTTTTAAAGCTTATGGATAAAGTAATTCAGTGATTCACAAAATGTTTAATATTTTAAAAGCTTATGGATAAAAGATTGTTTTTATAATTGCAAATATTATCTTTCCTTTGTGTGTTCAATGTAGCATTTTTCATATTTGAGAGACATTTATATTTTACTTGTTCTGTCTTTTCATAGTTCATATTAAATTTATTGCAAGAGTGTAAGCATTTTTCATACAGACTTTAGAAGCTTTTCATGTATTAAGACAATTTGCTCTTTGTTCTTTTTTATGAGGTATAAATATTTTCTTTTGTAAAGTGCTTTTTGACTCTTTTTACAGTGTTTTCTTTGTTTCTCAGTTTGTTTGTGTTTAATGTGGACAAAAACCACCCTTTCATTTCTTTCAAGGCAACTGGGTTTATTTTTATGAAGACTTTTCACATTCTCGTTTGCTAACTTATACGACTTTCATGGTCTTAGTTTCACATTTAATCTTAAAATCCCTTTGTAATTTATTCTAAGTTATCATGAGATGTCCAAACTTTTTTTCCTGTTTTTCTAACTTTTTTAAATTAAAAAGTGCATCTTTACCAATTGTTTAGAAATAACACTTTCACTGTAGATAATGTTATATATATTTTCAATTCTTTCTGGACTTTATATTCTACTAATTTGTCTACAATAACTACAGTATCTTTATTATGTAAGCTTTAAAATTCAAAGTAATGGCCAGTAAGAATAGTCCCCTTCCATATTTTTTCTGAAATATTATTGATGTTTATATTTACTTTTAATTTTAGAATACCTGGTTCACTTTCTCTATTCCTCAAAAAATATTTCTAGATCTTTAAAACTCTACTTTTGGTTTTAGATTTCTAAAGTTTCTAGAATGAATTGACAAGTTAATGATGTTATGTTTGTGTTCACAACCTGTACTATCTCTATATTTGTTTGATTTCTTTGATATTCCTCATTAACATTAAAAAAATTCCTTAAATAAATTCTAAATATTTCTTGATAATTTTTCCTAGGTATTTCGTATTTTGTCACTATATAATTTAGTGTATTTTCTCCGGCTTTTAAATTGTTTATGAATAAATTGATTTATGCACATTAACTTTATACCCAGAAAAGTGATTAAATGTATTACATTATTTGTAATAGATTTTTAAATGATCCTTTATGTTTTTAGAGAAACATTAACATCATCTGTAAATTAAAATACATTTTATATTCAGAATTTCTATATGTATTTCTCTCATCTGCTTATATCAGCTATTTCCTACTGTTGTTTAATATTAGTGCTTAATATTGACAAATTATAGCATCTTCATCTTTTTCTCATTTTAATGAGAAAAACATTTTTAATCAATCCAGAAACTTAAATATATCATTATTCTATTGCTATTTTATTAAGAATGTTTTATTTAAAAGATTTATGGATTCTTTTGTGAGTGCTTTTATTACATATGAAATATATAGAATACTTATAGTTGTTATTTTCTTTAGGTCAATAATATGATTCATCTTAATGGATTTTATTGTATTGTTTTTTACATTATCCTAAGATGCCCTAATTAGTTATATTGTTCTTTTCATTGATTATGTGTATCATTTATCTAAGGTTTTTTGCTTCGATATTCATATATAAATTTGGTCTTTGATTTTTCAATGTTATTTTCTCTTTGCTGGAATTGTTTATTTATATTTACATAAAATGAAACTCATATATTTTTATGTTTTCAAATTTATTTGCACAAAGTTTCAGAAGTTGTTTCTTTCTTTTGATGCTTAGTTTTCTATTATCATTTCACTTTTGTGTATCCGACAATTTTTTCCTTTGTCCTTGACTACATTAACTTCATGAGAGTCCATGTGTTTTCCAAGAAATCACTCCAGGCTTTATTTATTCATCATGTTTCCTGTTTTTCTAAGTTGTTATCTTATGATTTCACATCCGTTAAATACTTCCTATGGGGTTTGAGAGAGAGTGGTGTCCTACATTATTGTATAAGACACTTAATAATTTTTTGAATTAAATGCTTCATTTCCTTAATGTTTAAATTTCGTATTTTTTTAGGTTAAGACATTCTTGCTCTTTGAGTTTAATTTGAATTAGCATTACTATTATTCTGGATTGGTATTCTAAATTTTTGTGGGATTTCTGTTTTGGTTCCATATGAACTTTAAAGTAGTTTTTTCCAATTCTGTGAAGAAAGTCTTTGGTAGCTTGATGAGGATGGCATTGAATCTATAAATTACCTTAGGCGGTATGGCCATTTTCACAATATTGATTCTTCCTACCCATGAGGATGGAATGTTCTTCCATTTGTTTGTATCCTCTTTTCTTTCATTGAGCAGTGGTTTGTAGTTCTCCTTGAAGAGATCCTTCACATCCCTTGTAAGTTGGATTCCTAGGTATTTTATTCTCTTTGAAGCAATTGTGAATGGGAGTTCACTCATGATTTGGCTCTCTGTTTGTCTGTTATTGGTGTATAGGATTGCTTTGATGTTTGCACATTCATTTTGTATCCTGAGACTTTGCTGAAGATGCCTATCAGCTTAAGGAGATTTTGGGCTGAGATGATGGGGTTTTATAGATATACAACCATGTCATCTGCAAACAGGGACAATGTGACTTCCTCCTTTCCTAATTGAATACCCTTTATTTCCTTCTCCTGCCTGATTGCCCTGGCCAGAACTTCCAACACTATGTTGAATAGGAGTGGTGAGAGAGGGCATCCCTGTCTTGTGCCAGTTTTCAAAGGGAATGATTCCAGTTTTTGCCCATTCAGTATGATATTGGCTGTGGGTTTGTCATAGATAGCTGTTATTATTTTAAGATACGTCCCATTAATACCTAATTTATTGAGAGTTTTTAGCATGAAGGGCTGTTGAATTTTGTCAAAGGGCTTCTCTGCATCTATTGAGATAATCGTGTGGTTTTTGTCTTTGGTTCTGTTTATATGCTGGATTATGTTTATTGATTTGCATATGTTCAACCAGCCTTGAATCACAGGGATGAAGCCCACTTGATCATGGTGGATAAGCTTTTTGATGTGCTGCTGGATTCGGTTTGCCAGTAGTTTATTGATGATATTTGCATCGATGTTCATCAGGGATATTGGTCTAAAATTCTCTTTTTTTGTTGTGTCTCTGCCAGGCTTTGGTATCAGAATGATGCTGGCCTCATAAAATGAGTTAGGGAGGATTCCCTCTTTTTCTATTGATTGGAATAGTTTCAGAAGGAATGGTACCAGCTCCTCCTTGTACCTCTGGTAGAATTCGGCTGTGAATCCGTCTGTTCCTGGACTCTTTTTGGTTGGTAAGCTATTAATTATTGCTTCAATTTCAGATCCTGTTATTGGTCCATTCAGAGATTCAACTTCTTCCTGGTTTAGTCTTGGGAGGGTGTATGTGTCGAGGAATTTATCCATTTCTTCTAGATTTTCTAGTTTATTTGCGTAGAGGTGTTTATAGTATTCTCTGATAGTAGGTTGTATTTCTGTGGGATTGGTGGTGATATCCCCTTTATCATTTTTTATTGTGTCTATTTGATTCTTATCTCTTTTCTTCTTTATTAGTCTTGCGAGTGGTATATCAATTTTGTTGATCTTTTCAAAAAGCAGCTCCTGGATTTATTCATTTTTTGAAGGTTTTTTGTGTCTCTATTTCCTTATCTTAGTTATTTCTTGCCTTCTGCTAGCTTTTGAATGTGTTTGCTCTTGCTTCTCTAGTTCTTTTAATTGTGATGTTAGGGTGTCAATTTTAGATCTTTCCTGCTTTCTGTTGTGGGCATTTAGCGCTATAAATTTCCCTCTACACACTGCTTTGAATGTGTCCCAGAGATTCTGGTATGTTGTGTCTTTGTTCTCATTGGTTTCAAAGAACATCTTTATTTCTGCCTTCATTTTGTTAAGTACCCAGTAGTCATTCAGGAGCAGGTTGTTCAACTTCCATGTAGTTGAGCAGTTTTGAGTGAGTTTCTTAATCATGAGTTCTAGTTTGATTGCACTGTGGTCTGAGAGACAGTTTGTTGTAATTCCTGTTCTTTTACATTTGCTGAGGAGTGCTTTACTTCCAACTGTGTGGTGAATTTTGGAATAAGTGCAGCATGGTGCTGAGAAGAATGTATATTCTGTTGATTTGGGGTGGAGAGTTCTGTATATGTCTATTAGGTCTGCTTGGTGCAGAGCTGAGTTCAATTCCTGGATATCCTTGTTAACTTTCTATCTCATTGTTCTGTCCAATGTTGACAGTGGGGTGTTAAAGTCTCCCATTATTATTGTGTGGGAGTCTAAGTCTCTTTGTAGGTCTCTAAGGACTTGCTTTATGAATCTGGGTGCTCCTGTATTGGGTGCGTGTATATTTAGGATAGTTAGCTCTTCTTGTTGAATTGATCCCTTTACCATTATGTAATGGCCTCCTTTGTCTCTTTTGATCTTTGTTGGTTTAAAGTCTGTTTTCTCAGAGACTAGGATTGCAACCCCTGCCTTTTTTTGTTTTCCATTTTCTTGGTAGATCTTCCTCCATCCCTTTATTTTGAGCCTATGTGTGTCTCTGCACTTGAGATGGGTTTCCTGAATACAGCACACTGATGGGTCTTGACTCTATCCAATTTGCCAGTCTGTGTCTTTTAATTGGAGCATTTAGTCCATTTACATTTAAGGTTAATATTGTTATTTGTTAATTTGATCCTGTCATTCTGATGTTAGCTGGTTATTTTGCTCATTACTTGATGCAGTTTCTTACTAGCCTCAATGGTCTTTACAATTTGGCATGTTTTTGCAGTGGCTGGTATGGGTTGTTCCTTTCCATGTTTAGTGTTTCCTTCAGGAGCTCTTTTAGGGCAGGCCTGGTGATGACAAAATCTCTCAGCATTTGCTTGTCTGTAAAGTATTTTATTTCTCCTTCACTTGTGAAGCTTATGAAATTCTGGGTTGAAATTTCTTTTCTTTAGGAGTGTTGAATATTGGCCCCCACTCTCTTCTGGCTTGTAGAGTTTCTGCCAAGAGATCAGCTGTTAGTCTAATGGGCTTCCCTTTGAGGGTAACCCGACCTTTCTCTCTGGCTGCCCTTAACATTTTTTCCTTCATTTCAACTTTGGTGAATCTGACAATTATGTGTCTTGGAGTTGCTCTTCTCAAGGAGTATCTTTGTGGCATTCTCTGTATTTCCTGAATTCAAATGTTGGCCTGCCTTGCTAGATTGGGGAAGTTCTCCTGGATGATATCCTGCAGAGTGTTTTCCAACTTGGTTCCATTCTCCCAGTCACTTTCAGGTACACCAATCAGATGTAGATTTGGTCTTTTCACATAGTCCCATATTTCTTGGAGGCTTTGTTCATTTTTTTTTATTCTTTTTTCTCTAAACTTCTCTTCTCATTTCATTTCATTCATTTGATCTTCCATCACTGATACCCTTTCTTCCAGTTGATCGAATTGACTACTGAAACTTGTGCATTCGTCACGTAGTTCTCATGCCTTAGTTTTCAGCTCCATCAGGTCTTTTAAGGAGTTCTCTGCATTGGTTATTCTAGTTAGTCATTCATCTAATTTTTTTTCAAGGTTTTTAACTTCTTTGCCATGGGTTTGCACTTCCTCCTTTAGCTCGGAGTAGTTTGATCGTCTGAAGCCTTCTTCTCTCAACTCTTCAAAGTCATTCTCCATCCAGCTTTGTTCCATTGCTGGTGAGGAGCTGTGTTCCTTTGGAGGAGGAGAGGCACTCTGATTTTTAGAGTTTCCAGTTTTTCTGCTCTGTTTTCTTCCCATCTTTGTGGTTTTATCTACCTTTGGTCTTTGATGATGGTGATGTACAGATGGCTTTTGGTGTAGATGTCCTTTCTCTTTGTTAGTTTTCCTTCTAACAGTCAGGACCCTCAGCTGTAGGTCTGTTGGAGTTTGCTGGAGATCCAGTCCAGATGCTGCTTTCCTGGGTATCAGCAGTGGAGGCTGCAGAACAGCAGATATTGGTGAACAGCAAATGTTGCTGCCTGATCATTACTCTGGAAGTTTTGTCTCAGAGGAGTACCCAGCCGTGTGAGGTGTCAGTCTGCCCCTACTGGGGGGTGCCTCCCAGTTAGGCTACTCAGGGGTCAGGGACCCACTTGAGAAGGCAGTCTGTCCGTTCTCAGGTCTCCAGCTGAGTGCTGGGAGAACCACTACTCTCTTCAAAGCTGTCAGACAGGGACATTTAAGTCTGCAGAGGATTCTGCTGCCTTTTGTTTGGCAATACCCTGCCCCCAGAGGTGGAGTCTACAGAGGCAGGCAGGCCTCCTTGAGCTGCAATGAGCTCCACCCAGTTCGAGCTTCCAGGCTGCTTTGTTTACCTACCCAAGCCTCAGCAATGGCGGGCGCCCCTCCCCCAGCCTTGCTTCCACCTTGCAGTTTGATCTCAGACTGCTGTGCTAGCAATGAGCAAGGCTCCATGTGCATAGGACCTTCCGAGCCAGGTGCGGGATATAATCTCCTGGTGTGCTGTTTGCTAAGACCTTTGGAAAAGCGCAGTATTAGGGTGGGAGTGACCCAATTTTCCAGGTGCCCTCTGTCACCCCTTCCTTTGACTAGGAAATGGCCGAATAGGAACAGCTCCAGTCTGCAGCTCCCAGCGTGAGTGACGTAGAAGATGCGTGATTTCTGCATTTCCAACTGAGATACCGGGTTCATCTCACTGGGGAGTGTCGGAAAGTGGTTGCAGGACAGTGGGTGCAGCGCACCCAGCCTGAGCTGAAGCAGGATGAGGCATTGCCTCACCCGGGAAGCGCAAGGGGTCAGGGAATTCCCTTTCCTAGTCAAAGAAAGGGGTGACAGATTGCATTTTTATAGAAATATTAAAATCTATTTTCTACCTTTATCTGTGGGTAACAAGAATGTTATTAATATGACATACCATTTGAATTATGCCTTCATGGAATGTATCAATCTAATTTCTCAGGAAAAGAGATAATTTTTTCTTCTATGTTAAAATATACACACTTTATTTCATTTTCTTGTTGAATTGCACTGCCTAGAACCTTTAGTACAAGGCTGAATAGACGTGGTGAGATGGTATATCTTTGTTTTATTCCCAATATTAAGTGAAAAATGATTTTTTCATTAAGTACAATGTTAACTTTATATTTTTTATAGTTGCCCTCTATTAGGTTGAAAATGAGGTTTTCTTCCACTCTTAGTTTTTCTTCTTTCCTGAATGGATATTGAATTTTATCAACTGGTTCCTCTGTTTCTATTCAAGATGATTATATACCTTTTTTTCTTGTTTATATTGCTAGTATAGCCAATTACTGATTTTTGGTTTTTAAATGCTGAAACAATTTTATTTCTGGGATGAAACCCATTGGTTATGCTATTATTATGCTTCTTATTTATTCTTGAATTTATCAGCTAAAATGTTAAGGCTTTCCGTGTCTATATTTACAAGAGATATTTGTGTATAGTTTTATTTTTGTATGTCTGTCTAGCTATTGTTGTCAGGGTAATGCTGGTCTTATAAATGAGGAAGTTTTTCCTTCTCTTTTATATTCTGAAAGAGTTTGTATAAAATTGACTTTCATTCATTCTTTAATGTTTGGTAGAATTTGCTTGGAAAGCCACCTGGGCTTGCATTTTTCTTTGTGGGACTTTGTTTTAAGCAAAAGTTCAATGTGTTCATAGATGCAGGACTATTCTTGTTATTTTTAACTAAGCTTCTGTATTTAAGCCTTTCAAAACAATTGTCCATTTCATTGAAGTTGTCAAAGATACTGGCATAGAATTGTTCTTGATATTTCCTTAATTTTAAAGCACATAGGAATTTCTACTCTTGTTTCCTCTCTCACTTGTGAAATCATGAGCTAGCCCCAGGTCTGTTTGCTCTGAAGAGTGATACACCAGACCTTTCTGGTGGTCTTTCAGGGCCTTTGGACATTTTATCTCACAAGTGCACTGATCTGTGCTCAACTGAAGACTAGAAATAACCCTTCTCAGATATCTGGAGTCCTGCCAGGTATGATCAGTCCTCTTTTCTCTAGTAATCTTCCCTAGAATTTTACCCACATTTGCCTCCACAAACTCTGAACTCTGCTTCTTCTACCCAGAGACTGCTTGTTTCTGTTTGAATATCCTTTCTCTACATCACAGCCCAGAAACTCCCCAAGCAGCAAGTTGGGGCTTTTGTATGGATTGCCTCATTCTTGTTCCTTCTCTTGGGGATGATTATTTCCCACATGTCCAGTATCTGAAAATATCTGCTGTCCAATATCTGTGTGTGTGTGTGTGTGTGTGTGTGTGTGTGTGTGTGTATTCATATATCTTATGACTTCATCATAACTGGAAGACATCTGAATGTCAGTCAGGTTTTTATTTAGAAACAACTGAGTAGGGCAGTCTAAGAATAAAACTTTTTTCAGAAATGTGCTTGGGGGCATTAAAAGTATTCATGTCCCTCTCATATTTTCCTTAGGTTCCTCTTTCTATGTACGTTAATTTTTATATTTAGCTTAGTTCGTTAGTTTGGTTCTGGCCAGGATATGAAAACTAATTCAAAATTAAATGCTATAACATAGAGAAACAGAAAAGTAGTTTAAATCATCCCACACTGGTTGAAGAAAAATGCATTTTTCAATCAACTAAAATATAATTCTGTCTTAATATATAATGTGACAATTTTATAGCAAATTTCAAAGCTTATTGGCAATATAGGAGACTACTTGGTTCACTGATTTATATTTTATTTCAGTAAAGGAGAAAAGTACAGATGCTTTGAACCTCAGTTCTGAGCTCAATTAACTTTGAAAGGTTTGAAAGTAATTTCCAAGGCCATACAAGTATCTAATGAATCAAGTGCCAAGGGAGGTGAAAGTGCTTGAGCAAGAGATAATAATAAACCTCCCTCTTTTTGACCCGCAAATCATGGATGACTTTCTTTAGCCTGGTAAGTAGGACAACAGTTTTTTCATGCTCAGGATGAAGTAAATCACATAAGTATAAAGAGAATAATGGTGTTCCTTATAAAATAAATGAATAAACTATAACTATAGCAAATACATTTGAATAATTAACATTACTACTTATAAAATGACTTTGCTCTGGTATTCCTTTATATTGTCTTAGAGTGTAACATTGCTTGCAAAAGAAGCTTTAATGACCATTTTTTTTTTCTGTCTCTTTACCTCTTCCCAAAAAGTATGGGTGTCTGTGAAATACTTACTTATTTTTACAGTTTTGATGCCCTTTCAAATGACTTGGTAATATCATTTTACTGGTTGAGTGTCATTTAAACTAATCCTGTGTGTTCTCTTTCTGTTTAATTTTTACTAGAATCACACACACAAGTGCCAGTTTTACTCTATGGTATGAAAGTATTCTGATAAGAAAACACGTGGGCCCATACATCATGTCTTAATCACATATTATTTTAAGATTATTATCATTTTGTATATTATATAATTGCTTAAAAAATAATTTTTGCCATCAGTGTCACTTGCTCTATGCTATATCCTGGGAAAATAATGGTAAATGTTTGCATTCTAATATAGTACACTAGTTAATACACTAATCACTAGTTAGAATCATATAAACATTTTACCATGAAAAATTACCTACATCGATGGCAGGGAGTGGTGGCTCACACCTGTAATCCCAAGACTTTGGGAGGCTGAGGCAGGCGGATCACCTGAGGTCAGGAGTTTGAGACCAGCCTGGCCAATGTTATGAAAGCCCGTCTCTACTAAAAATACAAAAACAATTAGTTGGGTGTGATGGTGGGTGCCTGTAGTCCCAGCTACTCTGGAGGCTGAAGCAGAAGAATTGCTTGAACCCAGGAGGCAGATAGAAAATAATCTGAATTTTTTCTGAATACTGTATTAGTTAATGAATTAATCAATTTTTGAATTAAATATTTATAGGCCCAAAGACCCCCAAAGTTTTAAATTTTATTTAGAAAAAATCAAATGTATATCTGAGTAATTAGTAAATAAAATATAATCTTCCAGTTTATAATATAAATATTGGGGAGTTGGAAGAGGGATTCTAGCCATATTAAATAAGGATTTTTTCTTTTATGTAATATTTCATTTTGAGAATTCAGTCCTACATTTTAATAAATTCTAGTATGTCCTCTGAGTAGTGCTCCATCCAAATGCATCACATTTCATCACAAAAGAAGCATGGACAGACTCTCCATAACTCATATATGAGTGCAGTCCCAATAGCAAATATATAATTTATAATATATAATTTTACCAAATATTCTAGACCTAAGTTATCTACTATTTGCCCTTTTAAAAAATCTAGTTTATGGTATTTTTCCCATAATGCATACATTTTCAAGATTCTATAAACAATTTGTCTCCATTTGAGGTAAACTACTCTCTACTTATTAAAAAATGTTTTATAGATGAGGAAATATTCCTAAATACATAGTGTTAAGCCAAATGGAAAATTCCGGAAATAAACACTTCATAAGTTTTAAATTACACACCATCCTGAGTAGTATGATTAAATCTGGTGCACCCTGCCCCATCCTCTACTGGATGTGAATCATCCCTTTGTCCAGCCTACCTATGCTGTATACACTACCCACCTTTTAGTCACTTACTAGCTGTCTTGATACAATAAGATATTTGGAGACAGTGAGAAAGAGGGACTACATTCACATACATTTTATTACAGTATATTGTTATAATTATTCTATTTTATTGTTATTGTACTTAATTTATGAATTAGACCTTATCACAGGTATGCATCTATAAGGAAAAACATAGTTTATACGTATGCTCCTCAAATTATGATGGGGCTCCTCAAATTATAATCCCAACAAATTTATTATAAATCAAAAATATCATTAGTCAAAAATACCCTGATAAGCCCATCATAAAGTCAAAAAATCATAATTTCAACCATAGTTAAGTCAGGGAGCATTTGTTTAGATTTCAGTACTATCCTCATTTCAGGCTTCTACTGGGGATTTTGGAATGTATTCCAAACAGATGAGGGGGCACTACTGTATATAATATACATTAAACAAAAGTTACTAAACTTTTTAAATCACTAGTATGAAACTTACATAGAGTAAATATAAGGTATCCTTATATTTAACATATTAAACGTTTTAAAAACAGCAACCAGAAAAACAGAACAAGGATATTATTGGTGTGTTTGATACTTGGAGATATAAAATCCATATCAAACTGCCAAGATAGTTAAATAGGTAAGCCAGAAAAAGAGAAAATAAAAGTACCATGTTGATGTGTTTAAACAGAGTAGACAGAATGGAGTCATGGCAAATGACTTCTTAAAATATCTTGAATGATATTAGTATTTGAAGAGGAAATGAAGCCAATAAAATTTCTTCTGTGGGCTGGGCGCCATGGCTCATGCCTGTAATTCCAGCACTTTGGAAGGCCAAGGTGGAGGATAGCTTGAGTCCCAGGAGTTCAAGACCAGCCTGGCCAACAAAAGCAGATCTTGTCTTCATTAAAAAAAAGGAGAGAGAAAATTATTTTTGTGATATATTTTTAAAGGATCTTCATTTTCCATGAGTTGTTTGTTTTTGCAAACATAACCCACATGTTCAAATGATTATTTTAAGCAACAGAGAGTACTCAAATATATTAGCATGAGTTTCAATATAACTTATAATGTTATTATTTTAGGAAAAGATTTCCAAAACTTTACAAATGCATAAAAATTACATAATAAATAAAGATAATTGACAGGAAATAACTTTATATTGAGAGAAATACAACTATATTTTCTAATTTTGAGGTAGAATAAACTATTTGATTTTTTTCAAATTAAATCAAAAAATTTTGCATTGTTAAAAGTGATATGTCTTTCTTTCTCCCTCATTCTGGTTTAGTTGTTAACTAGTTAAGCAAGATTACAAATTAACCTTATGCTATATTTTATTTAACTCATATCTATGAATAAGAGATGATCAATTAGTATTTTTTCACAGAGAAATGTGTTTTATAAAATGCTTATTAGATAGATGATATAAATAGGAGCTATTAATTTGTTTCTTCTTTGTATTAGAAATAAAATAGAAAGGTTAGATAGAACTGACATATTCACCCAACGATATTCCAATAATAGGTTAAATTTAATTTAGTAGTAACTTGTTAAGTATCATAACAAAGTAGGTAAGTAAGTTTAGTGGAACAATGGTCAAAGATCACAAATTTTAGCCTTTCTTGCCAATATTGTACTATCTATTATTCATGTTGCTGTTTTTTACTCTTGCCTTCATATTTATTTTATACAGATCAATAAACCAATAAAGAAAAAAGAAAAAAAAAACATGAGTTTCAACTTAGGTTGCCATCTTAAGTAATGAAACCACAATTCAGATATTCAGAAAAGTACCCCATTTGTACTAGCAGTACAATTGTTCAGGCTCCACATGGTTACTCGTTGGGAGAGTTGCAAATATTACAGTTTTCTGCTGCTGACTATTTCAAGTTTCATGATGCAATACATTTGGCTTAAGATTAACAAGTTGTTGATGCTACAGACACAAGTTAATTTATGGATAAAAATTATTTTATTTTTCAAACATCAGAACATTTGCTTTTACATCAGACAAATGTTTAAAATTGAGAATTTGAATAAAATCCATGATTATTTGATCAACAAATTTCCATGGGATTGTTTGGGTTTCACATTGTGCGAGCCACATGATGATTTAAATATTTTAAATCCTACTTTTAGGGGTAGTAACATCATATACTTAATGGTGTACATTTTGATTTAAACTGCAATTATTAACTTCTTCAATTATTTAGAAACAATCTCATTAGTATCACATGCACAATTTCAGCATTAAAGACATTTATTCTTTTTTTTTTTTTTTTGAGATCGAGTTTCACTCATGTTGCCCAGCCTGAAGTGCAATGGCGCAATCTTGCCTCCTGGGTTCAAGCAATTCTCCTGCCTCAGCCTCCCGAGTAGCTGGGATTACAGGCATGCGCCACCATGCCTAGCAAATTTTGTATTTTTAGTAGAGATAGAGTTTCACTATGGTTGTTAGACTGGTCTCAAACTCCTGACCTCAGGTGATATGCCTGCCTCGGCCTCCCAAAGTGCTGGGATTACAGGTGTGAGCCTCCTCACCCGACCAAGACATGTATTCTTTAAAAAAAGGTATATTTTGTGGGTCTGCTATGTCAAACACAAGGAAAACTCAAGAAAACGGATTCAACTATCGTTAAGTAGATGACATGTCATTTATTTCTTTGAAGTTATTATTTATAATACTAAAACTGATTCTGTTGTTACAAAACAATGAAGACAATATGAGAAGTAATGTTATGTAACATTTAAATTCCAACAAAATTCATTTGAAATAACCATGAGTTGAGGGACAAGTAAATATCTTTACTCTTTAATACTGAGACGTCTTATTTATACAATGTGTAAAATTTTATTTCTAATAAACTATTCTGAAAAATTATGAAAACACCCCTTATTCTGTCTTTGTGCCTTCAAGTAATAACAAACATAAAACATCCAGATGTTAATTTATTTATTTACCAACACAAATTTTGGACTCCTGCTATATATAAAATACTCATTTGGTTACTATTAATATTAAAAAATTCAATCAACTATTCACATCTCCAATAGACATTAGAGCTGCATAAGAGGGGAATATAAACAGATTTAATACAAGAAGGAAATAAAAGTGTCTTCAAAGAAGCACAGGGGCAGAAATAACGCTATGAAATTTCAGAGAAAGAACTGTTTTTATTTGAGGGACTAACAGAAGCTTTGAGAAATTCTTTGGATCATGGGGAAATGCAGAGAAAAAATTAGTCAAGTCTATGAGACAGCATTAGAAAATACACAGAAACAAAAAATATTTGGTCCCAAAAGTGAAGTAATAGATTGCCATGTTTTAATACACTAAAGTGTCCCCTATGCTCAAACATGCTTTGATACTTTGTAAATGAATATTGAATTATTGTATAAAACCCGTGCTAAGAAGCTAGGAACTCATATTTTCCATTAACAAGCTTGGGTTCTTTTTGTTTTTTTTTTTCTTTTTTTGAGACAGGGTCACCCTCTGTTGCCCAGGCTGGAGTGCAGTGGTGCGATCTTGGTTCACTGCAACCTCTGCCTCCCAGGTTCAAGTGATTCTCCTGCTTCAGCCTATCGAGTAGCTGGGATCACAGGCGTGCAACACCACACCTGGCTACTTTTTGTATTTTTTAGTACAAACAGGGTTTCACCATGTTGGTCAGGCTGGTCTCGAATGCCTGACCTCAAGTGATCAACCCATCTCAGCCACCCAAAGGGCAGGGATTACAGCCGTGAGCCACCGTGCCTGGACCTTTCACATCCTTAAAATCAATGTTAAAAATAAAAGTATGTTATCAAAAATAAATAATATTGGAATCTAAACTGCAAAATATATTCTGGACTACCAGATAATTCAAGGTAGAAAGTATAGATATTCTAGTGTTTTTCTGTCTTTGTTTTTGTTCTAAGAGAGCTAGAATGAGAGGGAAAGAGAGATATAGAAAATATTTTAGCAAATATTATGCATATATTTTACACATGGAATATTAATAACTAGAATTTTTTTGTATGTCAAGTTTTCACAAAAAGAACACAATGGATCATGAGATCCAATTCTGTATACTGAATGCTGTAAATGTATAGATTAGTATCTTAAATTAATTCTGTTTTTTCGCCTTACGGATATGCATACACTTGTTCCTATGTATTTACAATTTTTTTATCATTTGAGTCAATGCTTAAAAGAGTAAGAGTTAGCTAATTAGACGAATGCAATTCTGGAAAGCAGACACTATAAGAGTTCAAACTTATTAATGAAAGAAAATGTAGAATTCAGTTTTAAATATTACAGCCATGTAAAAATATGTGTTAAATAGAAACATGCAAGCTTGTGGTTTTGTTATATTGTCACCTTAGAAAATCCCATTTAGCAAAATGTATTTATTAAGTAGTAATTCTAAAAATAATTGCATTAAATATTATCTCATGAAGAATTCATAAGACCTAGTTAACATTCTTGTTTTTGAAAGGCAAGTTTTTTCATGCTGGTTTATAATGATTTTGCAAAATAGAAATAATAAACTAATAGAATTTCAAATTTTAAATTAAAGGTTGAAACAATTGTTAAAAGAGTGAAAATATAACATTCTACAATCATTTTGGAAAATGTTTATATAGTTTTTAAGATATTTGTCTCTTTCATTTATTGTTCTGAGTTGAACATGCACTATATCTGAAGATACATAGATTTTTTTTCTGGGTGGTGAATATATTATTGCTTTTTAAAACAGCATTGTCCCTATACTGTGACATGAAAAACAGATGACTATTTTAATTTTTTACAGTAATTATTCACCAAAAATTAACAAGAAAACCACAGATATTATTTTGGATTTAATTTTTTTCTATATAAATTTATTTTTAGTTTCTCCAAGTCTGTAATCTTGAGCTCTCAGAGGATTTTTGAGTGGCCAGAAGCACCCAAATGAAAAACATATATTACTTTATTGCCCTGGAATCAAGAGACTATCCTAAATTCCTTCTTATCCTCTGTGAGTGTGTGTGTGTGCACGTGTGTATGCATGCATGCATGTGTGTGTGTAATACTTTTTTTCCTAACTCCTGACCCTTTTGCTTTCCATCTGATGACTCTTTTATTTTAACTTCATTGGATTTGGATTGAAAACCATTGTCTAGGACACCTATTCAGGTTAATATTCTGCAACTGCATGCATTGCAAGCGCCCAGCAGCTACCACATCACTGCCCACTACAGGTTTGTAAGATAATTACATCACTCTTTCTCCCACAAAGAACACTAATACATGCTCATACACATATTAACACCTCCGCTGGCAACACCTTTCTATTTGAGGACAATGTAATACATTTATAAAGTTAATCATACATTTCCCATGTTTCACAAGGCTTATATGAATAAGATAACTTTGCACAGCCCTAGATTGGGAAAAACAAAGTCCAAGGAAATGAAGAAAAGAAGTCACATTATATGAAAAATTTAGCATGCTATCAGAAATGACCTGGATAAACTTTTAGGTGCAATCAATCTTTTCTGTAATTCTCTTCAAGTTAAACATTGATTTCTATAGCCTTTTCTAGTAGACAATGAATTTTAAATGTGTGCCAGTAGTAGTTGGCAAAGAGTTATATGAAATGGATGGATGCTTTTCTCATTTTTTACCTGTACTCTCTCATTATCCCTTTCTGAAAGCTATATTGCTCCCCCCCCAAAAAAGGGCTCTAGTTCTTAAGTTTTATCATGATTTTTGCATTTCCTCTCTCTTGAGGTTGTGGTGGTAGAGGGCTCTGTAACCATGTACATGTTGAGTGATTTAAAATTAAATGACCCTCTAAGAAAGATTGCAGGCATTCTCTATGTTGCTCCGAGTATCGAGGTCTAAGGTAAGGATTTGAATCCCAAATTGTCAGTGTTCCATAATGTCATGAACTATTAACATTAGAATGGTTTAGAAGGGTAATCTATTCCTGATTCCCTTATTTTATCTGAAAGAAAATAATTCCAAAGTGGCAGCCTTCCCCAAAGTCATAACATCTGTTAGCAATTGAAGGACAGAAACCTAGACCTCCTGAAATGGATATAATCTTTGGCAACTAATTGGATGTGGAATCTTTCATACGTCAAAGGAGTGAGGGTGTAACAATACATCATCCACCTTGATTAATGACCATAATGGAAGGTTTTACTTAACACAACGAATGTAAATGCTACAAGCAGATTTGCTGAATCTTAAAAGCTGTAATTTATTTTAATCTGTAGCTTAGATGTGGTGCAGCCATTATCTTTTTAATCAGTTTACATTACAATACTTGGTTATTTGGATGGACATGAAGAAGAAAACAAATCTAAACTAAATAATATACCCAGAAATAAATAATTATGTTGGAAAAGTGTTTATTTACAGATAAAAGTTAACTCATATATCAGAGAAAAAATATATATGTTTATGCGTATATAATTTATATATGTAATAAAAAATAATTATCCATATATTCATTTGGAAATATGGAAAAATGTAAAGGAGGACTGAAAAATTTAAAAAATTTTGGGATTTTAAAAGGAAAGTAATATTCATTTTAGACAGTTATGAGAGCTCATTAACATTTACAATTAATTAAAACAGCATCCAATTTTTATTAGAAGTTTATTTTCTAAGACCTTTTATAATGACCATCTTAATTTGTCCTCACAATAGCCGTGGGAAATAGTTAAGGGAGATTTTATTTTTTCCATATTACTAATAAAACAACATGGTCAGAATAGTCAAGTGGCTTGTTCAATTTGAATCAGCTGGGTGGAGTGAGGAGAAAAAAAGTGTCTTTTTTCTTTACCCATTTGAGTTTCCAGGTGTGGCCTTGTAAATTAAACTAACAGAGGACAGATAAACAAGCAGAAGTTCACTAATTGGCTTACACATAGGAGCACTCAGAGATGAGTAACTCTAGTGGATGGTTAGAATTGGGGCTTATCTAACATCTTAACAAAAGAAGAATACATTTTTAGAGAAGTGACATGATAAAGGAAAATAATTTTTCAGTTTTCGAAGAAGGTAAATTGTAGAAAGATAACTATGTGGAAGAAATAATGGAAGATAAGGCCTAGTGAGTCAAGTTTGTTATGTAGATTCCTCTGGTGCCTCTCTAGGCTAAGGTCTAGAATTATCTCCAGTGATTAACATCTGCCCTTCCTGATGGAGAGTAGAGGCAGGGAAATCCTCACAAATTTATGTGCGACTTTTAGCTAAAATAAGGAGAGGGCAGAGTCCTGGGATGTGTTTTTCTTAATTGTCTTCAGCTCATAATAGTCTTTATGCCAAAGTGGGATATTTTGGGGTAGCATATTCTGCTACTCTATGGTCATTTAGATCCGTGATCTGCAATCATCTAAAATATAAAATTTCACTCACGTTAAATGCCAAATTCTTTATAAAAACACAATAATTTATACCTCACATTGTATGATTATCTTACCATGAAGATAAAAATAATTATCAATTACCAAAGATAATTATAAAACCTTAATAATTGGTTTATCCATTCCGATTCCTCTATTCCAAATAAAACTTCCTTAAAAATGACTCACTGTTAACCCTGACCAAGTGTATTTTAATAGCCAGCTACTACCTTTAAAATATATCCTAGTAACCTAAGGTCTTCAATAGAATCTGCCATTCAACATAATACATAAAAATAGATCTGACCTCAAAAGCAGGAATTATCAATTTATATTCAGGTCTGATAAGTGCATATCTTAGCAATAGTCATTAACAGGAGGATTTTATTATGATGGAAAATCCCTGCCACATTAACAAATCTGTTCTTAGTCAGACAATGTGGTTACTTTCTAGAATGAATAATGGACTTTGGGTTAGTCTTGTTGTTGTAGTCACAGCATACACAGTGTGAGGGCAGAAAGTCAGTATTCTCATTAAGAGGTGAAAATGTAGCCATGTTCAGTCATTATGCATGAGGGGTCACTGCTTATTAAGACTCATAGCAACCCTTATGATGCTAGTTTTCAACTTATTGACTCATCATAGCCGGACGTTATGGCTTTCTTTCTCTCAAATGAGACCTGATTTTTCTATTTCATTACAGAAATTTCAGATTGGATAGTTGAACTTCTTGGCTTAGTATCAGTACGCTCCTTCTCAGAACTGACATTCCTCAAACCACCTCCTTTTTAATGCTTAAGAACTATAGACATGATGATAGAATGTTCATTGAAAGTGTTAAATTCAGTAAAGTGTATTCATTATGGCACAAAGCTTTAAATTTTTTAAATGACTTCCTAGCAATTGTATTCACCTTGACAATATCTTATGCAAATTCACAACTTTAATATTTACCATTGGGCATTCAGATAGTTTTCTTTTTCAGTTATTAAATTTCCCATCTGATTTAAATTAAAATGTTTATCTAAAATTTAATTTAATCTGTGTCTCCTTCTATTAGTTCAGGCCTATCTGTCAGAATGAAACCACCTTTGCAAAATTATAACTGAGACAGTGAAAGTGCTCTAACTTAACTAACTCTATCTTGCTTCTAACCTCCAAGCTGTCCTTATTCATTCCTGGGTGCAGGCAGAACTACCTTTGGGAGAAACATAGTTTATAGTTTAAACAAAGACAGTAGCAGCCCTTTCCCAAAGCAGACCTACTCTTTGCCTGGGGATTAGATTGCCTTTGCAGACCTAACATTAGCTACAAGATTAAAAATTATGATTTAGGAGTCATGCAGCTGGAGGATACAAGAATCAGACCCTCCTTAAACTGCTCCTAAGATCAGTGCTTGAGATATTTTACAGATCCTCCACCTGATGGATCAGCTGGCACCACCCACATCAATAAACTGGCTCATCTGATCTTGTGGTCCCCTCACCCAGGAACTGATTCAGCTCAAGAACACAATTTCGACTCCCTGTAATTTCATCTTGGACAAATCAGCAGCCCTGGCTCACTGGCTTCCCCCTACCCACCAAATTACCCTTAAAAACCCTGCTCCCTGAATGCTCAGGGAGACTGATTTAAATAATAATAAAACTCTAGTCTCCCACACGGCCAGCTCTGCGTGAGTTACTCTTTATCTATTGCAATTCCCCTGTCTTGATGAATCAGCTCTGTTTAGGCAGCAGGCAAGGTCCTTGGCCAGTTACAAATTTAGGGGCTCATCCAGGATTGTCTTTGTAGCTACCTGCCTGTGGTTCAGTGCCCCCCTTTTAACGATGGATCCAGAGGCCAGCCCAAGTGGCTGACTAGTTTTCTTGGACTGAGGGCTGACTCTGGTACTCTCTCTACTGGTGGGGTGCTGCTTACCCAAAGCTCATGGATTTAATTGCAATGGAGAAATAATCATGAGGAGATATCCCTTAATTGTAGCCCTATCACAGGGTGTCTATCTGTAGCCCCCATGGTTGGGTGTCTATCTGTAGCCCCACGGTAGCCCAGTGGGATGTCTGGATTTGTGAGTATCCTAGGGGCTGCTAACACCTCCTTTCTTTTCCCAGCTGGTTATGTACCCCTATGGTGTGGTGTCTGTAATCTTATTGCAGAGTGTCTGTTTGTAGCTCCAACATGGGGTGCCTGTGTCTGTAGCCCCACTGCAGTGTGTCTGTTCAGCTCCTGTGGGTTTTGGTTGGCGTTTTCCAACTAATAGGAAGAGTCTTGGTTTGGGAGACTTCTCAATCAGGAGGATTTCAAGGAGGTTTCTCAGATGACAAATAGGAGGATAGTTTGGAAGGGATACTCTTGGAGTTTTTGGTTAGGGATCTGATTCGGAAGGCCTTCTGTCTGCCTCGTCTTCAGGTGTGTTTGTATATTTGGAAAGGATCTCAGAAGGGGTTGCTGATGGAAGTCCAGCAGGCCTAACTCAGAAAACCCTCCTTATTTGTCTGATCACATTCAGTGACCCTTAAAGAAGGTTCAACAGGCCTGACTCTCAGGGTGATACTCTCCTCTTCACCTTGCTCAGAGACCTCATTATGAATTACTGTTCGAAGGTTGTCCCTCCCAAGATGGAGTGGACCAAAGACTACAGGGAACAATGGGAAAGTTTCAGCTTTGCTGGGTTGATACTGGGTACTGAACAATGTAACTAATGTTTCTTTTGTTATGTGTATTTTCCTGGGATGGAAAATGTTTATTCAGTTCCCCATGCAGCCTGTTGGGCAGAATCTTGCAAACTAATCATCTTGTGTGTGGTTCCCTAAAACAGGAAAAGGTGATTTTCTCTTGTAAAGTGACTTGAGTCCCACAGCTTTGGCCCAGTAGGCAGGGTCTTCAGAAACCTCTCCATTCTTCTGGAAGCTGCAGAGAAAGGGAGCCCAAAAACCTGGTATGCTGGCAAAAAGGGTAAGACATTCTTATCAGCCAAGTTTCTGGTCTCTCTCTCTCTGTCTGGGTAAACAGTAAATGCCACTGACTCTCTGCGAGGGTTTGATTAATAGAGAAAGGATTTTTAAGACTAGTCTTAGGCAGTAGCAAATCATGTGCCCTTTGTGCTAATAATTTGTTTTTCTGTGTTGTATAATGCAGAAAGGAGTATCACATGATAGAATGTGGGTTTAGGACCCCTAAAGATCCTGCTTTTCAAGCAAGCCTGACAGGCTGGTCAGTTATAAATATTGCTGCCTGTCCCTGAAACCAATACCAGAAGAAATTTCTCAGTCTCATTTTGTGTCCTTAAGAGCATAACCTTGTGACTATGTGGGGATGCTTTCTCTTGGCTTCTACCATCTAGAAGACAGGAACCTGGGAATTCATGTTATAGTTAGCCCTAAAAATGTTCTTAAGGCCAGGGCACGGTGGCTCACATCTGTAATCCTCGCACTTTGGGAAGCCGAGGAAGGCAGATCACCTGAGGTCATGAGTTTGAGACCGCCTGACCAACATGGTGAAACCCAATCTTTACTAAAAATACAAAATTAGCCTGAGTGGTGGCAGATGCCTGTAATCTCAGCTACTTGGGAGGCTGAGGCAGGAAAATCACTTGAACCCAGGAGGCAGAGGTTGTAGTGAGCCAAGATTATGCCATGGCACTCCAGCCTGGGCAACAACAGCAAAACTCTATCTCAAAAATTCTTTAGCAGTTAAAAGCCTTTGCAAGCTTGAAATTGGCTTCTCTAGGTTCCTTCTGGGAAGAGAAATAGAAACTGCTTAATGCTGTACCTCAGAAGCTGAAGATTTGCCTTTTGACAACGGCTGCTTGGGTTCTATTCTTGGCTTCTGGAGATTCCTTTCTGCTTTTTTATTTATGTAACTTTGCCATTTATTGAAATTTTTTCCCCCCATGGATAGCTTCTGATTTCCTGTCTTGAATTTCCCTTTCTCTACACTACCCTAGGGGAGATTCTAAATCTTGAAAAAAAGGAAACTGCTTATCCATCTCTTTGAGATACCTATGTGTCCATGGTTAAATTATAACCTTAGTTAAGACTGATTAACTTCATGTGGGAAGTTACCCATGGTAGAATTCAAAAGCCAAAAGTATTGGTCTCTTGGTGTGGCTAAAGTCGGGTAATAAAAAATTTAAAAGGATTCTTTTTTAAGGAGTGCTATGGCTAAAAGTCAGCTTAATTAAAGTAGATAAGCTATAGGTATATTTCTTTATGTTTTTCTCTTTTTCAATCTCATTTTTTCTGGGAAGTTTTTTTCTTCTCAGTCGACTGAATTATTTTTCTCCATTTTTTTCTAGCCAACCTTAACACACATATAAGAGGCCCTAAGATAACTTCCGGCAGCTGGGGATTCCTTGGGAAAAATAGGAGGTGCGACAGACTGTGTCTTGGAAAAACACTGTTTTCCTCATGAAACCCCAGAAATTAAAAGCATATAGATCCCTCTTAAAATCAAAGGCTCTGTTCTGTTTTGCATTGTGGTATCTGACAATTTTGAGTTTCAGGGGTATCAGAAATTACTTCTCACTATGAGAGAGCTTTGGTGTGTAATAACTAGGTAGGAAATGTACTTAAGGGGATGGCTAATAATCGTTATGGAGGAATACTTGACTCTTTGCACACTTGGATCACAGAAGCATGCTCTTGGCCACCAGGAAGATATGGAAACATCCCCACTCCCACTGACAGGTGAGGCTCCCATGGGGGATGGTCTAATTACACCATTGGGTGATAGGCTTTGGGTGGCCTTGCAATGAAATGCACAGTCGGTAAGAGCACTGCCCTGTCTTCTCCCGAAGTATTTCCCACTTTTTGGGGATCCAGGATCCAGTATAAAATGGCACCCTGAATTTTGGGGATCTGTCTCTGCTTTTGGCTGTGATTAGGTCCCAGAAATGCAAGCTTTCCTGGCCCTGTTCTTCCAAGGGCTCCACACTGAAGCCAGTAATGCAATTAAGAAACTGGCAAATGAAAAATCTTATAAGTGCTGAATCTTCTGTCTGTCTGCATTTATATGTGTTGTGTGTATGATGTTTATATATAAAAAGCTCTGATTAATTGGCTTAGAAAAATAAGCACTTAAGTCAAATATTTTGTTCAGAAAAATAGAAACTTTAGTACCTTTTTTGTTCACATGACTTTAGTAATGTTTTGGAAATAAAAACAGTTTTAAAGATTATTGGTAAAATAAAATGTCCTGAAAATGTAGACATTGGGTCTAAATTAATGTGAGATATCAGATTTGCTAAATGCTTTAAGGTTAAACTGTTTCCTTGACTTTTGAAAATTGTTCAATTTACCTACTTTGGAGCATTAGATTATAGATGAGGCTTGGGGACATGTGGAAACCATGCCCCTAAATGCTGAAAAGAGTCAGACCTTATCTGATGACCTTATCTGATGTTCTAGGCTCCATTCCTAGTATATAATCAAAATCACTTACCTGACTTTTCATTAAAAATAAAAGTTGCTAAGGGTTAACATTGTAACATGAAATTGAGATTACTGGATAAACAGGTTTACATATAAGTTGTGTAGTGAATGTGGTTTTGGTAAAAGATTATAAGAAGGCATAGGAATATGGCTTTTGTTAAAGGGAATGTAATCTCGTCTAGTTCGGAAGGTTTTAAAGTTTGTCTTAACCTAAAAGAGTAACAGGACAAAACTGAAGGCTTAGACAAAGTGAAAAAGGGTTTGTAAAGGGTTAATCTTATAATACAAATTCTGTGGGTATAAACAAGGAGACTAAGATTTAAAAGAAATTATTTACTTTTTTTTCCATAGGTTAAAACATTAAAATCATACTGACGGGATTTTATTTTGTAATATCCAATGTTTAAAACTTTGATATTTGACAAACTTTCCAAAATTAAATTATAAATTATGTCTCTTTCTAGCCTAATATTTTAGGTATTAGGTCCTCTAATGTTCATAAATGACATTTGGCTTATTTCATATACAAATTGTAGAGGAAACATTGTCAAATATGAAATGGTGTTAGGCTTTCTTTGAGCTATATGTGTGTAAATGTATTATTGGCATATGTTCTGAAATTATGTAAAACTCCTATAATTCTGATGTGACTTAGTATATGTTATCAGTGATAATTATAAGTATTATGTTAACTGACTGTGTGCCACAGAGGTGACAAATTTCCTTGTCAATCATGTCTTTAACTGTGGCTGCACTAAAATGTTTCTGTCATCCACAGAAAATTGTTGTCTTATTTTGCCCCTCTTTAAAAGATGGTTTTATAATCAGCTATAAAATTTAACAGATGCTCTTAAATGCAGGATTCTGATTAATAACTCTGGAGACTGTGACATTAGAATAGAGAAAAAACTTTCAGATAGAAGAGTGAATTAATGGTGATTGGTTTTCTTTGGACTATTTGCATAAATATGTTATTAGTATGTGTTCCAAAAAATATGGAAAACTTTTATAATTCTGATATGATTTAGGGTACATTATTATTGTAATTGTTATGTAAAATTGTTGTATGCCACAGAAGTAGCCAAAATTCCTAGTCAATTGTAGCTGTAATAGTGGCTACAGACTTTTATCATCCATAGACATTTTGTCTTACTTTGGTCCTTTTCAAAAGGCAGTTTATAATCAGATATAGGACTCTCAGTGCAGGTCTCAGATAACTTTAAAAATTGTGCTATTGGAATAGAGGAAAAAATGAAACTTCTGGGACTTTCATGGAGAGCTGATGTGTTAAACATTGCTAATCCTTTTGTTTTCAGTATCAAGATAACTTACTTTTTAGAGCTATTTGCAACTTGTTACAAGTGAGTAAAATATATTACTGTGGGGGCTGGGGCGGGGGGCAGTGGGAAGTAAAACTTTTGGAGCATATTTGTTCTCTCTACCTGATTTCCCCAGAATTTGGAAACTATTAATGAGTATTTTCAATTTATGGCAGTACAGTTAATTGCATAAATGCAACAAGAATCTGTTTTCTTTTATAACACGACACAATTGGAGAAATTGGTTATTTTACCAAGGTTTTGACTGGAATAGCATGCTTCCTTTAAAGAATCAAAGTTTACTTATAGAACCAATTAAAGCCTCTTGGAGAATATGACTTCATATCTTGTCTTCACAGCCCATGTACAAGGTTCCTGACCTGTGGTAAGTAAAGAATGTCACTTTCTAACAGGCCCAGGAACCCCAAGTTATCTTGTGACCTCAAGAGGACACAATTTACCCAACTCATAGGTATTTTAGGGTATAGACGTCTGGCTGGGCTCAGCTGTTAAAAAGTCTTGTCTGAGATTCCTTGTGGGACAGTCTTCCATCAAAGCCAATTAAATGTGAAAAATAATTATTCTTGCTGCACTTTATGCAAATAATCGGGCAAGTACAATAAGACTAAAGTTTATTTTGTAAACAATTCAGTTCTATCATAACTTTTTTTTTTTTATAAAAAACGGGAACTGGAGAGAGAAAAATTGTGCTTCAAAAGAAAAAACTATAGTACATTGTTTTTAGCTGTGCTTGAGTTTTTTTTTTTTTTTCCTGCAGTTCAGACTAAATGCTAAATTATTTGTGGGTTAGAAGTCCCCAAATGAATGCCTTCAAATCTTTGCATTTAAAATTGGGAATTGTACTCTTCATCCTAGGACTCATTATTTCCCTTATAGCATGTTTTTCACTTAAATACAGTACTAAAACTACAGATGTAAGTACTACTATTTTCACCATGCAAGCCTTGATAGCCCAGCCAAGCCTGTATGAGTACACACAGACAGTTGGAAAGCTGTTCCACTATTCTCACTCTCAATGGGTTCACTCCCATTCCCACTACATCTTCCGTCAGTGGGAAGAAGCCAGAATGATTGATGACCTTTTCACATCTTCATAGCCTACGCCTTAAGACTAAGGAGTAATAAAACCAAAAGGGAGGAATTGAAACCACCTTTGCAAAATTATGACTGAGACAGTGAAAGAGATCTAAATTAACTGACTCCCATCTTGCTTCTAACTTCCAAGCTGTTCTTGTTGATTCCTAGGCATAGATTGAACTAATGTTGGGAGCAACTTAATTTATAGTTTATAGTTTAAGCAAAGATGGTAATAACCTTTTCCCAAAGTAGACCTCCTTCTTGTCTGGGGACTGCATTGCCTTTGTAGGGCTAACGTTAGCCACAAGATTAAATCATTGTGATTTAGGAGTCATGCAGTTGGAGGCTATAAGATTCTGACCCTCCCTAAACTCCTCCTAAGATCAGTGCTTGAGATATCAAGTGCATCAAGGCCCTGCACTTGATGGATCAGTTGGCACCACTCAGATCAATAAACTGGTTCATCTGATCTTGTGGCCTACCACCCAGTAACTGACTCAGCACAAGAAGACAGTTTCTACTCCCTATGATTTCATCTCAGACCAATCAGCACTCCCTGGCTCACTGGCTTCCGCCCACCCACCAAGCTATCCTAAAAAACTCTGCTCCCTGAGTGCTTGGGGAGACTGATTTGAATAATAATAAAACTCCAGTCTCCTGCACAGCCAGCTCTGTGTGAATTACTCTTTCTCCATTGCAATTCTCTTTCTTGATAAATCAGCTGTGTTTAGTTAGCAGGCAAGTTGAACCCCGTGGGCGGTTACAAGAAGACTGAAATTATAGAAAGAATCATTGCTAACCACAATGATATTAAGCTAAAACTCAAAGGCAATAATATAATTAGAAAATATTAGACTACATGGACTTTTTTAAAAGCTCTAATAGTCCATGGATAATAGGATAAAACATGAAAATTAAAATATGTTCAATTTTTCAAGCAACAAAGCATGCATTAATATAGCAGGGTATAAAATTAAAACGTGTAATAAATAGTCTTGTTTTGTACACAAATAACCATTTAGAATACATAACTGTAGGGAAAGATCATTATGATAGAAATAATTAAACATAAATATACTTAAGAAAAAGACTAATAAAAAAATTAAAAAATTTGCAAAACATAAGAGGTAATCTTTAGGACACTTAAAAAATACACAAGTAGAATTAAAAGATATACTTTTTTGGATGCTCAATATTTAAAAAATGTGAGTTCTAAGTTACTTTATAAATTTGAAACAATTCCATTAAAAATAACTCTAAGCTTATTTATAAACCTAGACATATTGATACTATTTAATATGGGCAAATAAATATACAAGACAAATTTAGAAAAGAATTGATCAAAAACTCTACAAGTAGGAGTAATCCTGTAGCATACATCATATAAAAACATAAATTCTCTGTCATTCAAATACTATAGTGTTGATACATAAATAGACAGAGTAAAATGAAATATAAAATCCAGAAATACAGATAGATACATACAGAAATTCCATAGATAATAAAACTGCTATTACAAATGATTCAATCAAAGGAAATTTGCAATAAACGTTTCTGAGACAGCCATACAGCTAGCAGAAAAAAAGATAAAAATAAATGGACTCTAGAAAAAACATAACAGATCTGAATATTTTTTAAAATACAATTTCTGGGAAATAAACAAGTGTAGCTGAATTCTTATATAACTGGGGTATAGGAAAGGATTTTCTCACTAAGACTCAATTTTTAGATGCAATAAACTCATACTGAAAAAAATAATAAAGTAGAACTACACACACATACACACAAACACACATACTCATGTTGCATGTCAGCAAAAATCACCATCAAAGGTCTAAAGAATTTTAAATATTGGGACAAATATTAACAAAACATTAAATATATGTGTCACAAAAAGAGCTAATATTCAAAATATATAAAGAACACTTAATGAATGAGGAAAGATAAAGAACAAAAACAAATTGACCATAAGCACAATGAAGGGTAAAAAAAACTGACTGAAACTATCTAAGTTACTTTAGAACACAGTATTTTGAATCTAACACACAGTCTAAAGCAAAAATGAAAACATTGTAAACAAAAGTTAAAGTGTAGTTATTTCTAGTTAGTGGGATTTAGTTTTCAGTGGTATAGGTTAGGAATTTTGAAGTGGGGCAGCCATTTTGTAGCTACAGTCTGTATTTTGTAATTGAGCAAATGAGTGAATATTTAGAATATTTAGAAGCCAGGTTTCTTATTGTTGGGGAATCAAGTTAAATACATAGAAATGGGGAGCCTAGAATAATGAACCTTGAGATGTTGAATTGTAATTAGAGAAATGTGTGTGTGTGTTTATATATCTCTGTATACAAATATATATTTATATTTCTTTAGCTCTCACAGATGAGAAGGCCTGGAAACATTAAAAAATATAATGGCAATGAGCACACCTATAACTCAGGACTTAATTTTCAGATACCATTTTTTGCTAAAAGGAACATGGGCCACATGGAAAAATTACTTGTATTGAGTTCTCTAGAGAAATAGAATCAACAGGATCTGTCTATCTACCATCAATCTATCTATCAGTCAATAGATAGGATAGGTACACAGAAAGAGAGATTTATTTTGGCCAGCCGTGGTGGCTCACACCTGTAATCCCCAGCACTTTGGGAGGCCGAGGCGGGTGGGGTGGATCACCCGAGGTCAGGAGTTCAAGACCAGCCTGTCCAACATGGCAAGACCCTGTCTCTACTAAAAATACAAAAATTAGCTGGGCATGGTGGCAGGCACCTGTAATCCCAGCTACTCGGGAGGCTGAGGCAGGAGAATCATTTGAACCTGGGAGGCGGAGGTTGCGGTGAGCCGAGATCACGCCATTCCACTCCAGCCTGGGCAACAAGAGCAAAACTCCGTCTCAAAAAAAAAAAAAAATTATTTTAAGGAATTGAGTCACATGATAGTAGGGGCTGGCAAATCGAGAATCTGCAGAGCAGGCTGGCAGATTGGAGACCCAGGAAGAGATAATGTAGCAGTCCTCATTTTAAAGGCACTTGAGAGCCATAATATCTTCCTCTTTTGAAGATCACAATCCTTTTTCATATAGCCTTCAAGTAATTCGATGAAATTTACCCATATCATGGAGGACAATCTGCTTCCCTCTACTGATATAAATGTTAATCACATCTAAATAATAGCTTCACAACAACATCTAGGCTAGAGCTTGATCAAATAACTGGATACCATAGCCTAACCAAGTGGAAACAAAAAAGTAAGCCTTGCATGTTGATTCCAAAGCTAGGGGAGAGATGGATTAGTCTAGAATGTCTTTGTGTGTCAGGAAAAGTCAAGCACTCAGTGAATGATGCTTGCATGTGAAAGAGACCCAGGCACCAATTTGAATGGGGTTCCACGTAGAAAAATTTTAACCTCAAACTAGATGATAATGTTAGTGGACTACAATCCAATTGAATATAACATGAATTCATGAGACATTTTGATATAACTACCTACTAACTGGATAGACAGATGATAGATAAGATAGAGCTGTAGAGACAGAAAAAGGGAAAGCTGTAAAAATCATGATAGAAAGAGTGATAGAATTTGATTACCATTTAGCAGCTCTTGTTCATAATTAATTAACATGGGTATGCTCAAGGGATGCCAAAAGTAATGAGAAACAGGATATTTTCTTAGAATCAAATCACTTCCATGTAAATTCTTATAAATTATAAAAGCAAAAGTAGTAATTTTGCAGTAGACATACCCAGCCAATAACACTATAATTGAGTGACTACAGTTAACAAAATTGATGTCAGGGGCCTCTTGAGTTGATGCACTTCTCAGGACACCGTATCATTTTTGTGGTATTTCTAACAGCATTCATAACTTGCCATTAAACATGAGGAATCATAAGACAAACTCAAAAAAATCATTTAGATCAAATAGCCTATGCTTTCCAAAAATATGAAGTAATGAAAGACAATGCAAGGCTGGTGAACTATTTTAGGTTATGAAATAATAAAATGACATGAAAGGCCAGGTGCAGTGGCTCATGCCTGTAATCCCAGCACTTTGGGAGATCTATTAAATAGCTCACTTGATGCCAGGTGTTTAAGAGCAGCCTGGGCAACATAGTGAGACCCCATCTCTACAAAAAATAAAACAAAATAAAAATTAGCTGGGCATAGTGGTGTGCGCCTGTAATCCTACCTACACAGGAAGCTAAAAAGGGAGGATCACTTGAGCTCAAGAGTTTGAGGTTACAGTGAGCTATGATTGCACTACTACACTCCAGCTTGGGCAACAGAGCAAGATCCTGCCCCTTAAAAAAATAAAATAAAACTAAATTCAGTACATTATCCTAGATTTTATCCTCTAAAGAAGGTTAGAGCTAGGGGATGAAGACTATAAAGGACATTGTCCAGACAATTGATGGAACTTGATTACGGACTGTTAATTAGGTAATAGTAATTACCTTTATTAAATTTCCTGTTTCAATCCTATACTTTAGTTATGTAAAATGATGTCTTTCCTCTTACGTTATAAACATTGAAGGTATTTTGATGGGCTAAGGTATCATGTATGTAATACACTCTTAAAATTTTTGAAAACACTATCAATTTATATTAATACTTTTCAAACTACCTTGATGAAGAAATAAAGAGCAAAAGGAACAAATATAAATAATTGGTTAAATACTGAATAACGTTAAAATCATAGCAAAATTAAAAATTACAAAAGGAAAAAATTCTGAACAATGTGATAATAAAAATGTCATACCAAGCTTAGGGGCAAGAGGTAAAGGAGTGCTTAGAAAAGAATTCCAGCAATACATTAAAAAAAAATCTAAAAGCAAGAAGTTAAGTTTTTATTTCAATCTAGAAATAGAAATCAGTACAACAGAGAAAAAACTAAATAAAGAAAATTAACAGAGCAAATGTTATTTCTTTGAAAAAGTAATAAAACTTTTGCAAAACTTTTCAGAAATAAAATGACATAGGTCCCATAATAATATATGAGGGCAAAATCATGCATCACTGCGGAACCCACAAATATCAAAGTGGTAGTAAAAGGATATTATAAGCAACTTGATGACAATAAATTTGAGAACTTTTATAAAATGAACAAAGTCTTCCAAACATGCTACTTACGAAAGTTATTAAAGAATAAAGAAAGCTTTTCAGTGATTGTATACATTTCACATAAGTTAAATTCATAAATAAAACTTTTATAGAAAGAAGACCTCAGACACAAATGCTTTCAGCTGTGAATTCTTCCAAACCTTTTCAAAAGAAGTAAATACAAGCCTGCACACTGCACATATTCTTTCAGGAAACAAAAATATAAAACAGAGGAAAGTCTTCCTAAAAATTTTTTGAGATGAGTTTTTCCAGGAATGGAAAATCTGACAAGAACATTGAATGTTTTAGTGTGTAATGTGGTAAAAAAAAATGAAATTATACATCAATCTCATTCACGGACATTGATTAAAATCTAAACAAAATATTATTAAGTCAGATTCAACAATATACTCAAAGGATAGGGTATAATAAACAAGTGAGCTTTTTCTATGTGTGCAGGGTTTCTTAAACAGTTGAAAATTAATCAATACAATGTATTACCTGAACACAGAATCATATGATATTGATAAATGCAAGAAAGGAAGCATTTGAAAGAAGGAATACCTATTCATAAGAAAAATAATTTCAGGAAATTAGTCTTAATCTGTTATAAGAAACTCTGTTAATATGATATAGACTGTCAAGCATTAATACACGTGGACACACACATACACACACATGCAAAACCCGATAGTACATATCATAGTACATAATTACCCCTGAAATCTGGAACAAAATTAGGTTGCCTGTTATCTCTGCTATCTCGAAGACTATTCAACATTTTAATGGGGAAAAAATGAGGCAAATTGATGGCATAAGAGTGACTCTCAATACTCAAAAATGACACAATTGTAAACTTAGACAATTCAGAAGTAATGTACAACCTATCAAAATTAATAAACTAATTTAGCAAGGTCACTGGATACAAAGTCACTATTAAAAATGAATTATATTTATAAACACTGGCAACAAACAAATAGAATATAAAATTTACAAAAATACCTTTACCAGTAGCATTAATAATCATTGAGTAACTTGAAATAAATAAAAACAAAAATGGGCAAGACTGCTACACTAATTGCAAGGAATTGAAAATTATTAAATATGATATAAATAAGTGGAAGATTTGTTATCTTCATTTTCATTTACTGGAATATTATAAAGATCTTTATTGCCTCCTAAATTATTATACAAGTTCAATGCAATCCATATCAAAATCAAAACATGTTTTAAAATTTTTATTTTAAATTTTACTTTGCAAAATTTAAAAAGTTGACTCTAAAATTCATTTGGCAACAAACGGCCAAAAATAGTCATGGCAATCTTAAAAAAAATGAATGAAGATGGAGGATTTCAACTCCAAGTTATCAAGACCTACTCCCAGATTTTAACAATTATGAAAGCTTATGTTGGAACAAGTATAAAGAAATATGCCAATGATAGAGAATTGTGAATAGAGTCACCTGTTTTACACAAATAATGAGAATGAACAAAATATAACTAATTCAACAATAATGAAATCCAGCAAATACATCATTGAACTAAAGAAGCCAAACACAAAGAACTAAAGAATATGCACTGTATAATTGAATTATATAAAATATCTATTCCTCAAAATAGTTTGTGAATATTATAAAAACTCATCAATGTTCTTAGAATTAAGGATAGTGGCCATCCTTGAAAGGTGGTGTGTGAAAAAGGAGGATATTATAAAAACTTCCAGGGTAAACATTATTTTCTATTTACTGATCTGATCTTGATTACACATATACTTCATTTTGGTAAAATTCACTGAATTGTACACTTTTTGATGTGCAGACTTTTCTATATTAAACTTCAAGAAAAATTGTTAAAAAGTCATGGATTTTAACAATTTATAAACAAGGCAGGTACTATGATTTTTTTGAGATACGAGCTAGGGGTGACTCAAATAAACTAATTGAAATACTTTTTATGCACTTATGGAAAGTAAATTAATGTGATTCTGAACATAAAATGTTTTCTGAGTATGGTTTATCCATATTATGGCATCCGATTCAGAAATGAAAAGGAATGAACTATTGATATTTACAATAATTTCAATGAATTTCAAGGGAATTATTATAAGTGGGGAAAAAGGAAACTATTACAAAATATTACAGATTGGATTATTCCATTTACATAACATTTCTGAAATGATATAGTTTTCCAAATGCAAAAGAGATCCTTGGTTGCCAGGGGTTAAGGAGGAGCAGATGTGGCTGTGATGATAAAAGGGGAATACAAAGGAAGGCCCTTTGTAGTGATGGAACGTTTAGAATCTTGACTTTGGTAGTGGGTACACAAACCTACACATTTGATAACATTGTGTAATAGTAAATTTATGCCCATAAATGAGTACAAGTAAAACTGTGGAAGTCTCAATAAGTGAAATATATTAATGTCAATATCCTTGTATCACATTGCTTTATCATTTTGCAAGATAATGCCACTGGAGGAAACTAGGTATAGGGCTCACGAGATCTCTCTGTATTATTTCTTATAACTAGATGTGACTCCATAATTATTTCAAAATGAAAATTAAAAAAACCTCACATTTTCTTTGGGATGAGTGTACTTTTATGTGACAGGGCATGGCCCCATGATGAGTGAACTCCTGAGTGACAGGGCATGGCTCCATGTGACAGAGCATGGCTTCAACTCGTGTGACAGAGCATGGCTCCCTTTAAAATAGTAAGATTTATGGAATTAATGAAGCAGTTGTGACTTATGGAGAGTGAAACAAGTTTTAAAAGTTATATTTGTATGTGTTAATATATAATTTTAAAATATTACACACATATTTTTGAGTGAAAATAATGAGTGAGAACAAACAAAACTAAAGCAATATTCAAATATGCTGTTGAATATAAATTTCTTGTACGTAACAATAAATTATCTCGAGGAGCAAAAAGTAAAAACAATGATAATAAAGAAACTAGTATTTCTAGAAACTTGCCACTAAAGACCTAGCATTTTCTATAATCCATTAAAAAATGATTTTTTGTTTCTTTGTTTTTTGAAGAAATAGCATGAGGCCTACTGGAAAGTTAAGCTCCTCTTACACAACCTCATCTCAAGGAAGCCAATGGAAGTTTCTGAGAAATCCAAGCCTAACCAGTTTAAAGAGTAAAAAAACAGACTAAAACCTTTGCGAAGAGAAAACTGATCACTTAATTCATACCTTTCTCCTGCCACATCACATGCTCTAAGGCAGTTAAATAAAGCCTACAAAGATTTGTGGGAATATAATGTGACAGGTATGCCAAGGACCACTAAGTGAATGTCCATACATTTACTTTGAGTCACCTCAAATCAAAGAACTGTTTTGATATGATAGAATGAATATAATATGTCCCCATCTATCTTTCTCAATAAAACAACCAACAAAAATCTACATAAACAATTACTTGAGCCAATGAAATATGAAAATCAATGTTTCAAGGGGCCAGTAATAAATCAAAACTATCAAACATATAACTCAATCTTAAAGATTAACTATAAATTAAAATAAAAGAGCTGCAACTATAATTTTAACATACTGAAAGAAGAGGGTTATTATGCAATAGAACTTACAAATAAGCAACTTTGTGCTTGAAAGAGAGTGCTAATTGGGAAACCTTGAACATTATAAAATTAATACATTTTTTCAGAAAAGCTGATAATAAAATATGTGTTGAAATCTATTTTGAAAAATATTTAATTATGAGTGAATTTAGAATTTTTATGTCAATCAAACGTGTATAGAGGAAAACAGTCTTCCATGTAACCAAATACATTAAACAAATAATCACACACATTTGAAAATTGCAACTGTAATAATAGATAAAATGAATATGAATTATAATAAGAAAAATAATGATACATTTAATAATTATTTGCTGTGTGCCAGGAGATAACCCCAGTGCTTTACATACTTCAAAGCTCTTGACTGTCCCAATAACTGCATTATGACATTGAACAGAATAATACTCTTGATTCCATTCCTTTCAGCCACACCAATTTATTCCCATCTCTAACTCTTATGTCTCATATAAGACCTTATGTCCATTTAGTTTCTCAAGCTAAAATCCAAGTTCCCCTTAATTTATCCTTTCAGTCACGCCCTCCTGTATCAAATCCATCAGTAAGTACAATGAGTTCTACCTCCAACAAATACTTCAAATCTGTCACTACCTCATTTTTCCCTGGCCCCCAATTCTACCACAAGTCAACATCATATCTGGCCTGGAATACTGCATTTGCCACATCAATAATTATTATTTATAGAGCATAAGTCAGAGTCCTTTTTTTTTACAATGTCAATTTGATCTTGCCTTTCTGTATTTAAATCCTTCAATATCTTCCTGCTGAATTTTCAATAAAATATAAACTCTATATACAGCCTTCCACATCTTACAGAATGGGGTCCCTTCTTAAACCCCTATCCTCACCTTATACAAATATTGAAGTCTGTTCAGCCACACTGCCCTTATTTCTATTTCTCACCATGATAAGTACTTTAACTATTTCTCTGCATTTGCTACTTCCTCGCCTGGAAGGCTGTTTCCAAGGTGTTTCAATTGGCAGGCATCTTCTCATTTTTCAGGTGTCTCCACAAATGCCAACTCCACAGAAAAGTTCTCCCAAGTATTCCATCTGAGGTACTACTTCATTGCAATCTATTATGTACTTCTGTTTTTTCCACAACATATTCAAAAACTGTTACTGTTTTGTTTTATGAATTTATTTGTTCATTTCTTATCTCTTCCCAATAATACTAAAAGCTTGGTTGGATCTGGCATTACTTATCTTTGCTTTAATGTCACCTAGGCCTAACATACTATCTTTCATATAGGAAGTAATAAATATGTATAAAATGATATTTCATGTTGGAATTATATACAAGGTGGGTTCAATATTCCACAGAGTATAATTCTAATGTCAAACTGGAAAGTAAAATTACATAGGGTCAATGTTAACCTCAAGTATAATTTCAATTATTGATAACCACAGTGTAGGCATTTTGTGTTGAGGATAATGCTCTCTGTAGACTATATTCGTGGTTCCTCCAGCTCTTCATTAGGCATGTTTTCTCTATGGCAGTCAATTAAATATTTGATGAATTCTTTATAATGTCTTATGATTTTCTCCTGCCGGCATTAAAATGTTAGGTTTAATTATAAGCCATTTTCCACAGCTGACCTATTCTAATTGCTATTCAAATTGCTTTCTGTCCTCTTTCTCTTTCTCTCTTTTTCTCCCTCTCCCTCTCTTTTCCACTCCTCCTCTCCTCTCTCTCTTTCTTTTTATCTGTTTTAATTAAGAGAGAAGGTGATTATTTTTTCTCAAACACCTATGAGTATTGCACAAGTTATAATCATCTTATTTATAATACACCAAGTTAAAAAAAAATGAAGAATTTCCCAAAAAACAAAACACTCTTCCTCATTTTCTGGCAACATAGCAATATAAAGCATATACTTAAAACAAGATTAAATAATTTAAATATTGCACATTAAAAATTCTGACTATAGTAATGAAGGCACTGCGGTATTGGTGAAATATTAGACAATCTATGGAACAGAATAGAGACCCCAGAAATTGACACAAATAAAGTCAAGTGATCGTTGATAAAGGAGTAAAAGAAATAGAATAGAAATAAGATAGTCATTTCCATCAATGCTGCCGGAGCAAGTGGAAATGCACATACAAAAATGTGAATCTAGACACATAACTTAGACCCTTCACAAAAATGTATACAAAAAATGAATTATAGACCTCAGTGTAAAACACAAAACTACAAAACTCCTAGGATTTCACATGGGAGAAAAAAATGTATGACCTTATACTTATGATGACTTTTTAGATATGTCACCAAAGGCATGATCCATGAAAGAGCAAATTGATAAGCAAAACTTAAAACATAAAATTTTAAAAAATTCTGCTCTGCTAAACCCACTATCAAGAGAATGAAAAGACATGCCATAGATTGGAAGAAAGTATTTGCAAAATATATATCTGATAATAAAGTGTTATCTGAAATATACAAAAAAAAAATTTCAAACTCAAAAATAAGAAAACAAACATGCCTATTAAAAAATGAGCCAAAGACCCTAAAAGACACTTTACCAAAGAAAACAGAAATATGGCAATTAATCATATAAAAATGTATCTGACATCATACGTAATCAAGTCAATACAAATTAAAATAACAATGACATATAACTACTCATTTATTAGAATGGCCAAAATCCAGAAGGCTATAATCACCATATGCTGGCAAGTACATAGAACAATAGAAACTCTCATTCATAGCTGGTGAGAATACAAAATAGTACAGACACTTTAGGAAATAGTTTGTCATTTTCTTACAAAATTGTATATGTTCTTACCGTACTATCAATCACACCCCTTGGTATTTATTTACCAAAAGAAGTTAAAAACTCATGTTTACAACAAACATGTACATGTATATTTATATCAGCTTTATTCACAAGTGCCAAAGCTTGAAAAGAACCAAATGACTTTCAATAGGTAAATGGTTGAATAAATTGTGCTACTTCCAAAATTGGATTATTATCCAATGCAAAAAAAATATATAGGTATCAAGCCATGAAAAGACATGAAGGAAACTTAAATTAACATTACTAAGTGAAGAAGTCAGTATGAAAATGCTTCACACTGTATGGTTTCAACTATACAACATTTAGGAAAAGACAAAAAAAACTGTCAAGACAGTCAAAAAGATATGTGGCTGCCAGGGGTTAGGGAGAAGAGAAAGATGAATAAGTAGCGCACAGAGGGTTTTTAGAGAAGTGAAAATAGTCTGTATGATGCTATAATGATGGATATATATCATCATATAGTTGTCCAAGCCAACAGAATGTTCAGCACCAAGAATGAAACCTAACATAAACTATGGACTTTGGGTGTAGGTTCATCAATCATGATAAATTTATCACTGTTGTGGGGGATGTTAATAATGGGGAGGACATCCCTGTGTGGGAGCAGGGAGTAAACGGGATACTGCTGTACCTTCCTCTCAATTTTGCTATGAACCTAAGAGTGCTCCAAGAAAATAAAAATCTTTAAAAAAAATCTGAATAACTCTGGAGTCACAGAGGAGCAACTGATTGAAGCAATGGAATGATTGAAGCAATGGATTGAAGCAATGGTGGTCTCACAGATATGGGAGAGGTGAAGTTATGGGGTGAGAGGACTAAAATCATTTCTGTTCTGGACAGATTTGATCTGAGATTCCTTTAAGGAAATAATACCAGTTAAATATTTCAAATATAGTTCTATATGTAATATAGAATCTAGGAGAGAAATTTGGCTAGAGATTAAAGTGTTGTGGCCTTAATTTTAGAGATGGTATATAAAATATGGACATGTATGCGATCACTCAGGGACTGAGTTAAGAGAAAAATGAACATTGACACTGCACCCTAGGCAATTCATAATTCAATATTGTGGTGTCTGGGAAAAGTAGAAAGAACTAGCGAAAGAAAATGAGAAGCAGGAGGAGGAAAACCAGGAGACTGTGATATTTTGATGCAATTTCTAGTTCAATGCTGTATTTCTTCTGGAGCTTTCCTTGCTGTACATGGTGAAAATGAGCAACTTTCTATTTTTTTCCACTAACTTCTCTCCTTGTGGGTCTGTATATTGTTTGCGTGTGCTGAATGACAAGGTAAACATTAGTGTTTCAATGTCAAATAAGCTTTATAACCAATCTACAGTGCTTATTTCTTAAATGTTATGTATTTCTCCTTCATCATGAAAACTTTTATCAGTTTCTAATGATCTAAATGGAATATTTTATTATTTTGTGTTCAGTTTTCCTCTTGCTAGATACTAGATTAAGTGTACATTGTTGCATAATTTTGATGTAGCTTGTCTCTCCTATTTTCACGTAATAAATGGACATAAACCTAAGTAAAGGGCTATTTTTACTGTTTTCTTTTCCATTGTTTATGCCACAGGCCAATGTCCTTCAAAGTACACCTTTACTTTTCCTTTCATGTAGCATGAAGGAAATGTCGAACGGTATATATATATTCTTGCCACTTATGTGTCTAAGTTGGTTACATTTTCTAGAAAAGACAACTTAAGCATAAAACCAATTTGAAATTGTTTATACATAATATATGCTATTGGGTCTTTGGGAGCAAGGAACTATATTCATATCCTATGTATTAATATATTGTAAAGACTCTTCTTAAGGTTGATCACTTGGGCATAGATTATAATAGACAAAATATTCCAAATCTCCTAAAATAACATGAGTATTCACACATCATGCCTCACTCACACAAATGCCAACTAACATTCTTAAATTCTAAGTATTTCTCAAAGGACACCATACAATTCATTTTTGGTAAAATTAACAGCAAAAAATTTATTTCTCAAGGAAAAAATTATCCTGCGATTGTTTCTTTTTAGCAGTTTGTATCTTGCTCCACAGAAAATATGGATTACATAATAATTTACTACAAGTATAATAGTTATATTTAAGATTAAATTTTATTTTTCACCAAGAAGTTTTGTTTATATATATAATTGTATTTTTATGGTGGTTTTTATAACTGTGGGTATCTCTTCTATACATTTGATATTATCATATTTTTATATGCTGGGTGAGGTGGCTAACACCAGTAATTTTACCATTTTAGGAGGCTGAGGTGAGAGGATCGCTCAAGGCCAAGAGTTCAAGGCTAGCCTTGGCAGTACAGCAAGACCCTGTCTCTACCAAATTAGCTGGGCAAGGTAGTGAGTGTCTGTAGTTGCAATTACTCAGAAGGCTTATGTGGGAGGATTGCTTGAGCCCAGGAATTCAAGGCTCCAGTGAGCTGATTGTGCCACTGCACTCCAGTCTGGGAACAAAGTGAGATTCTGTCTCTAAAAAAGAATATATATATATATATATATATATTACTATTATGTATATATTCTACTATTACATATATAAGAATATATTTATTCTTTTATATCCTACTGTTATGTATATAATAATATTTATCTATTCTTATATATATATATATAATAGTAGGATTAGTATTAAATTAAACTTAAAAAGTGGGCAAAGGACATGAACAGACAATTCTCAGAAAAAGTTATCCAAATGGCCAACAAACATGAAAATATGCTCAACATCTCTAATTACCAGGGAAATGCAAATTGAAAATACAATGAGATCCAAGAATGACCATAATTAAAAATAAAAAATAATAAATATTAGCGTGAATATGGTGAAAAGGGAACACTTTTATACTGCTGTTGGGAATGTAAACTAGTACCACCCATATGGAAAACAGTATGGAGATTCCTTAAATAACTAGAAGTAGAACTAGCATTTCATCCAGCAATCGCACTACTGGGTCTCTACCCAGAGGAAAAGAAGTCATTGTATGAAAAATACACTTGCACATACATGTGTATAGTAGCAAAATTCACAATTGCAAAAATATGAAATCAGCCTAAATGTCCACTGGCCAAAGAGTAAATAAAGAAAAGGTGGCATATATACACCATGGAATACTACTCAGCCATAAAAATGAATGAAATAATGGCATTTTCAGCAACCTGGATGGAGCTGGAAACAGTTATTCTAAGTGAAGTAACTCAGGAATGGAAAACCAAATTTTGTATGATCTCACTTATAAGTGGGAGCTAAGTTATGAGGCTGCAAAGGCGTAAGAATGATATAAGGGACTTCAGAGACTCAAGGGGAATGCGGGGAGAGGGGTGAGGAATAAAGAATACAGATTGGGTACAGTGTGCACCAAAATCTCAGGAATTACTACAAGAGAACTTATCCATGTAACAAAAATCCAACTTTTCCCCAAAAGCTATAGCAAATAAATAAATAAATAAATAAGATTTGATGCTAAAGAGTTTCTAAGATAATCATTTCCTAAATTTCTTATTTGTGTTCACAGATGCTTCTATCTATTGATCTACATATTCATACACACAATTTTATGCACTTTTACATATGCCTTTTTGGGGTAGGGGTATCAGAAGAGATTAACTAAATTGAATCACCAACTTGGATACTCATACTATTTTAATACATTTTTCATTCAAACAATTACTGAATGTATATTACATGTAAGCCACAGTTTTTTTTCTGATAGGAATACAAACGAGTAAAATACAATCTCTGACCTTAAAGACATCAAAAGTAGGAAAACAAGAAATGTGTGTAACTAACAATGTACATCTCATAATTATTAGGGCTATGTCAGTGACATTGATAAGTGTTATGGAAATGGAGAGACAAAAATTATAAGTTCTTTTTTTGACATTTGGAAATAGGAAATTTCCAAGAAAAGACAGATCATTAAAAATCAGTATCATTTCACTAGTCTGAAAGGAACAGAAAAGGAATTGTGAAAGAGCACGAGTCCAGCAGCTTAGCATAGTTTTGGGCATATAACAAATATTGAACAAAAATTCAATGTATTAAGGATTTTAGACTCAAAAAATGGAAGAGATTGGGGAAGAATGGTGATGGGGAGTGTTGAAATGACATAGGCCTAAGAAAGAAAATCAGGGCAAGAATTTTATTACCATTTTACTCTGTATTAAGGAATTTAGACTTGTTCCTATAGGCAATATTCTGGGAAGGTATTATTTATTTATTTTTCTTTTTCAACTTTTATTTTAGGTTCAGCAGGTACATGTTTAGGTTTTTTACATAAGTAAATAGTATATTTTATAGATTTTGTGTACAAATGATGCCTTCACCCAGATGGTGAGCATAGTAACCAATAGGTAGTGAAAATGTTTAGATTTATGAAAGAATTAGAAAAGGAAAGTGGCCACATGCCTTTCATATTACAAGAGAAAGAACTTGAGGCATGAAGAAGACTATTGAACCTCCAGTGTAAGATTGGGACAGAGAAAATGTGAGAAAGGTGGAAAAAGTAGCATCAATTTATGTACTTTGAAAGAAAAGCAACAGGAAATTTTTGTCCAATGCATTGAGTTCATTTAACAAACATTTTATCAGAAATTATGGAAGATTAGATTTTAATTTATAGAAGAAATTAAAATCTAAAGTAGATATGTAAAATTCAACCTGATAAAAGGAAAAGTCCAGCTGAGTTAAATTTAAAGGAGTTTAATTGAGCAATGAATGATTGGCGAATCAGGCACCTCCAGAATTACAACAGATTCACAGAGACCTGGGGTGCCTCGTGGTCAGAACACATTTATAGACAAAAAAGGTAAAGTGACATACAGGAATCGGAAGTGAGATACAGAAACAGTGAGGCTGGTTAAGCTCCGTTTTTGCCTTATTTGAATGCACTTTGAACTTTCAGCAGTCTATGAGTGGTTGAAGTATGGCCGCTGGGATTAGCGAACACTCAGCCATTGTTACAGACGCATACTATTAAGTTAGGTTTTCAGTTTTGTCTGACTATTAAGCTAAGTTACAGTTCATCTGCAAGAACTCAAATATAAGACTATGGAGTTCTTCCCAGGCCATATTTAGTTTGCTTTAGCAATCATTTCCCTCTTTTGGTCATTTTCTCAATTTTGAGAGATTGACCAAAACCTTAGTCATTGATGTTAATATCACTATCATAAATGTATTATATGGTTTGAAACCCACTGGGAAACAGTAGAAAAGTGGGTTTTGCAAGGAGAGAATAAGGACTGAGTAGACGGTACCTCCTTATGATAGACATCCTGTTTACAGGAGAAAAACAAAATGTAGTCTGTTCTAGCATCTATCTGTGTTCTTAAAGCCTTGGTTTGATTATGTCACATTTAGGATGAGTGACTCCATTTTAGCTTGGTTTCGTTTGTTGGGGCCTAGTGCATGAGCTCAGTCCAAAATAGTGGCTTCCTCTAATTTTGTTGTTTAAAAATTCTCCCTTTTCAGCCAGGTTCTCACTTAGGTGACAGTGTGACCAAAACTTAAGGCCTTAGTGCCATTCTCAGTAACATCATTTAGGGTTTCCAGTCTCAGCACATCATTCGTAGGTTACGATATCCTCAGGGTCACACATTTCTTTCAGCTTTTGTCATTCTGGTTGAATAGAGACCATTTGATGTTCTAGAGATGGCTGCATGCAAACATTTAAAACCTTTAAGAGAATATAGCACATCAGGGAGACTATCATTATGAGTACTGGGAGAATAATAACAAATTTGGAGTGTGCTCCTTACCCAGGGTCCCCATAAACCAAACCATGTAAAATTAAATAGATTAAAGAATGAGCTATATGAAGAGCCTACTTGCTTGACTAGGTGGTCTTTTCATTAATCCCCTACAACTGAAATTGTATAATCTACATTTGATGTATTTCTCCATAGGCCACAGGTGTCAGCAACTGCACAGGTACTTTTCTGTTTGGCCAATTCTATTATTTAGCATAACTTTTACAAGATAATTTAAAGTCTGTTGTGTAACAATAGCCTTTAAAGTAGAATTTGCTGTAGAGCCTATTATGAGGGTGACATTTCTAATTATTGCCTCTTTTATACTAAACTATGGAAAAAGGACCTAACAAATGATGTCATTTTAGAAAAGCGAAGGCCTCCTGGCAATATTCTCTTTAATCCATTATGTGGGTTAAGAAGAGTTTTGACTGATTATGAGGCAACATATGTACCACTACATTTTCTCACCTACATTGAGCCTTCATCTTTTATCTATTAAAGTACAAGGTTATTCATATAAGGCTGGATGCAAAATCCTTCACAAATAAAAGTATACCCTATAAGTGCACATAATAGATCCCCCTTTCATTTCAATTGTTCCTAAAGGCATAAACCGGAAAATATATTCAAATATAAGAGTCTCGTGATAGTAGACGTTTTGATCCAGGATCTTGGGAAAAGCTGTTCACATCAAGGATGCCATCTTCTTAAGGAGATAAACTTTCCTAGTTAATTTTACCTTAAGAGTTTCAATGGTTGTACAGTTCAGGAGTGTGGAGGGGCCCTTCTCAGTTGTAAGATCATGAACCCAAGGTTCAAGGCTCCAAAGCTTTGCTGTAGTGTGGATGGCAAGGACAGTCTTTCTCTGATGTTCTCAGAAGATCCAATCTTTGGGTTCTAGATTGCAAAGGAGTTGTCCTCAGTGAACCATGGGCTTAAGACAAAGGTTTAAAACATTGGATATTACAAAATAGAATCTTAGGTTACCATAAGCTTTTCATTTAGCCATAATAATAACTCGAAAATTTTTAAAAGGAGAAAGCATTATTCGGATAAGGAGGAGACTCAGCTTTCCAAACAAGACTCAATTAAGAGAGCATAGGTCAACTGACTCTGTCTCCTTTCTTTCCCTGCCCCTCTTTTTGTTTTGTAATTTACTTAAAAGGTAAACAAAAACCTTTCATTATCTTTTAATATTACATGTTTTTAAAAGAGAAAGCCAAATTTTATGTTTCCATTTGTGTATTTTTAATGTTAAATCTAGTTTTTGGTAACATTTTATAAATCTATTCAGTTTTAATTAACTCGACCATAAGGTAAGATTTTCATAAACCTTTTATAACCCCTTACAATTTCTTTTTTTCTCAGAGCAGAACAATGTTCTAAGAATATTTCGTTGTGCTTTTATTTCAATGTCTTATTTATGGAAAAAAAAACCCTTGAATAATGCCATTTTAACTTTTGGCAATATGTTCACACATAGAATCTTTTACAATTAATTTTTATAAACCTTCCACAACTTGTTCAAACCTTTAGCTTTATTTAATATAAAATAATCTTTTAACCCTCTAACCTAGGCAAAAATTTACATTCCCATACCTTCATATAATCTCTTACAAAAACACATTTTATTCTCCTTACACATCTTGTATATAAACATATTTTTTCAGTAGTCTCAATTACATATTACAATGTTAACTCTTAGTGACTTTTACTTTTGGTGAAAACCTTGATAAGTAAGGGATTTTAATTATGTATTAGGTGTGGCGCCTAGGACCCAGACAGAAATGCAGATAAGGTCTGACTCTTTCCAGCCTCTAACTTCACATGTCCTAGGACTTACCTAGCTGTAAATCAGGCAAGCTGTACTGTTAAGAGTCATAGTGACATTTTATGAAGCATTTAGGAGGCCTAGCCACCTTTAAATTGTACAACATTTCTGGTGTAAGTTTCTTTTAATACATTCTTTCATGACATACACAGACCATATATGACATGTTTTACTTTATAACCTTTCTTGCATAGGAAGGGGGCATGGCTAATTCCATATCTCCCCAAGTCTTATTTAGAATTTAATGTCTCCAAAATAAATTGAACAATTTTCTTTCTTTTTTTTTTAGACGGAGTTTTGCTCTTGTTGCCCAGGCTGGAGTGCAATGGCATGATCACAGCTGATTGCAACCTCTGCCTCCCTGGTTCAAGGGATTATCCTGCCTCAGCCTCCTGAGTAGCTGGGATTACAGGTGCCCACCACCATGTGTGGCTAATTTATTTTTTGTATTTTTAGTAGAGACGGGGTTTCCCCATGTTGGCCAGGCTGGTCTCAAACTCCCAACCTCAGGTGATCTTCCCGCCTCGGACTCCCAAAGTGCTGGGATTACAGGCGTAAGCCACTGCGCCCGGCAGCATTACAGTTTTCATTTTGCTTTTAAAATATTTGATTTAAGCACTTATTTTTGTTTAAGCCAATTAATTAGGGCTATTTTATATAAATATTATACACAATGCATATATAATTACACAGACAGACAGAAGATTACTACAGTAATTGTAAGATTTTTCATTTGCCAGTTTTTAAGTTTCTTAATTGGTTATTGGCTTTGTGGTGGAGTTCTTGGAAGAACAAGGTCAGGAAAGGGGTTTCTGCTGCCTCATTGTTTTCCCAAGAAGTCCAGGCTGTTAGAGCTTGAATATCCTCTTTTAATTAAGCTGACTTTTAACAGCAGCACTCTAATAAAGTCCTTTTAAAATTTTGTTTAAATGGTCAAATGGCCAATATTTCTGGCTTTTGAGCTTTACCAAAGGTAACCTTTCAGGTGCTCAGAGAAAGGAAAATTTAAGATAGCCCTTGGAGAAGAAAAGACTAGACAAGATCATGCAAATATTAAACCAAAAACAACTTTCTTCCTAAGCAGGGAATCAAACACAGACTGCAAGTGTGAAAGGGCAAAACCTTCGCTACTGAGCTACAGCAGCACAGGGCAATCTCCACTGCTCTTCCCAGAAGGAATCTAGAGTAGTTAATTTTGAGCTTGCAAACGCTTTTAACCACTAAAGATAATTTTTAGAGCTAACTATGACATAAATCCTAAAATTCCTCTTCCCTGGAAGGTGGAGACCAAGAGAAAGTACTGCCACATGGTTACAAGGTCAAGCTCCCAAGGACATAAATCAAGATGGAGACCCCATTCAGTTTTTTTGTTTGTTTTAGGGACCTGTGGGAAAGTTTGTTATTGATCAGCTTGCTGGACCATCTTGAGCAGCCAGCTTATGGGGACCTAAGTCCATGTTTTATCCTAAGGTACTCCTTGACACAGAAAAACAAATTCATAGCACAAATACATCAGTTTAAGGCTAGCCTCAGAATTCTTTTTCTCATTAATCGAATCTTTACAGAAGAGATAAAGAGTGATTTTTACCATTCATTCAACTGCTTGCACAGAAAGAGAAAAGCCAGAAACCTGACTTGTAAGAAATTCTTACCCTTTTGCCGGCATGCCAAGATTCTGGGTTCCCTTTCCCTGAGCAGCCTTAGTGACTCAGCTTGCCACACCATCCTGCTGGGACCAAGATGCATCATAAAGAAAAATTATCTTTTTTCAGTCTGGCCAGAGCAAAATACGTGTGATAAAACATAGATATTAGCTACTCTGCTTAGCACCCAATATCAAATTGGCAAGGCTTAAATTTGCCCTCAGATGGGTCCTGTCATCTTTAATCCAACCTCTGAGTAGGAGTTTCAACACGTGGTCTCTGGGCAAGATGGTCCCTCTGAGTAAGAGAAAAGATAAGAAAGGGAAAGGAGAGAGAGGAAAGCATAGTCTGTGGGAGGTTGGGGAAGGCGAAATGATCAGGGAGGCCAGAGAAAGACCCACACATTGAAGCAACACTGAGAAGTTCAGGTGGTTGCTTCTTGGTAGCAAAGGGCTCTTTTCCAGCAGTCTCCTCATCTCTCAAGTTTCCCCTTTTAGGGAGGAATAAGCTCCCCATGTCCCAGGATCCTGTAAATCCCTAATCCTGTCACCCATAGTCGTCATCAAAGAGTGCAAGACAGATTATTCCAAAGAGAATAGCAGTTGACATCCCGAAGTGCCAAATCCATTCTTAGCCAATGGGAATTTACCGAGAACCATCATTTTTAAATTTACTTCAATGCATTGTTGTTCATTTGCAGCGTTCCCCTGTAAGTTATCTTTTGTAAGATTTTGCCGCAAGACTTCGCTGCCTCCCAGGCTTAAAGTATAAACCAGAATGAACTCAGTTTCCCAGAAATTAAGGATCTCATTTTTACCTAAAATATTGGCTTTACTCTCAGGTTCTCTTGATTAACTTAGCCAATGACTTTTTTCTACCTAAGTATACAAGAAAAATTTAACATAGGAGGTAGAACACAAAAATTCCTGTTATTTTTTAAAAGCCAAATGTTATAACCTCTGCAATATTACTGCTTACTACCAGTTCCTTTCTGACCCAGTCAGATGTAAGAGACCTCTGACTGGATCCAAGCCAGTTCATTCCTGGATCAAATCCATTCGTGGACCCAGTCCTGTTTCTGCCATGATGCCAAACCCATTTTGGATCAGAAATTTGCTCAAAGAAACTCAGGGATCTCAAGACACAAGTCCATGGAGCTCTGAAATCCGAAAAGGAGCTTATCCCAGCTGCTCCCAGAGATCAATGGACACAAGTGGGTCCTGCAGGTTCCTTGCATGTTCATTCAGTGCTCCTGAGGGTCACTAAAAGTTCCACTTCGGATCCGCTTCTGACACCATCTGATAAAAGAAAAATTTCAGCTGAGTTAAATTTAAAGAAGTTTAATTGGCTGGGCGCCGTGGCTCACGCCTGTAATCCCAGCACTTTGGGAGGCTGAGGTGGGTGGATCATGAGGTCAGGAGATCGAGACCATCCTGGCTAACACGGTGAAACCCTGTCTCTACTTAAAAAAAAAAAAAAAAAAATTAGCCAGGCATGGTGGCGGGCACCTGTAGTCCCAGCTACTCAGGAGGCTGAGGCAGGAGAATGGTGTGAACCTGGGAGGCCGAGCTTGCATTGAGCCGAGATCGCGCCACTGCACTCCAGCCTGGGTGACAGAGTGAAACTCCGTCTCAAAAACGAAACAAAACAAAACAAAAAAAAAGAAGTTTAATTGAGCAATGAATGATTTGTAAATAGGGCAGCCCCCAGAATCACAGAAAATTCACAGAGGCTCTAGGGGGTGCCTCATGGTCAGAACAAATTTATAGACAAAAAAGGTAAAGTGACATACAGGAATCAGAAGTGAGGTACAGAAACAGTGAGATTGGTTACAGCTCAATGTTTGCCTTATCTGAACGCAGTTTGAACATTTAGCAGTCTATGAATGGTTGAAGTATGGCTGCTGGGATTGGCCAACTCTCAGCCATTGTTACAGACGCATACTATTAGTTAGGTTTTGAATTTTGTCTGACTATTAAGTTAGGTTACAGTGCATCCACAAGAACTCAAATATAGAAGTACAGAGTCCTTGTCAGGCCATATTTAGTTTGCTTTAACAAGCCACTGCCCTCAAAAACTAACAAACTATTAATTAATAAATGTTTAAGCTAGTAATCTTATATCCCAAATTGACTTTAATCGTTTATATTTCAAGGCTCAGCATTTCTATTTTTAGGCCTCTTAGAATGGAATTAGATTATTCCTTTCACTACATTTCCTTTCTTTACCTGATCTTTAGGTCAGGCACAAAAAGACAACTGTCACAGGTTCTCACTCATATGTGGAGCTAAAATATTTGAACAAATGGAGATGATAAAGGAAAAATAGATAATAGAGACTGAGAAGGGAGAGTGGGGAGGGGAAAGAATGAAGAGAAGTGAGTTAAAGTTGGAATCCCCAACATTGGGGCCCCAGACTGGTACCCATCCGTGGCCTGTTAGGAACCAGGCTGTGCAGCAGGAGATGAGTGGCGAGCAAGTGAGCAAAGCCTCATGTGTATTTCCGGCAACTCTTCATCGCTCATATTGCTGCCTGAGCTCCACCTCTTGTCAGATCAGCAGCAGGATTATATTCTCATAGGAGTTCAAATGCTGTTGTGAAGTGTGCATGCAAGAAATCTGGGTTACATGCTCCTTATGAGAATCTAATGCCTGATGATCTGTCACTGTCTCCCATCACCCCCAGATGGGACCATCTAGTTGCAGGAAAACAAGCTCAGGGTTCCCACTGATTCTACATTATTGTGAGTTGTATTGTCATTTCATTATATATTACAATGTAATGATAATAGAAATTGAGTGCACGATAAGTATAATGTGCATGGAACGTCCTGAAACCGTGACCCCCAACCTCCATCTATGGATAAATTGTCTTCCACAAACTTGTCTCTGGTGCCAAAAAGGTAGGGAACTGCTGGATTAAAGGGTAAAAACATGCAGTAAGATAGAATAAATAAATTCAATGTTTGATAGCAAAGTAGGATGACTATACTTTAAAAATGTATTGTAATTGGGTCCCTGATTTGATCACTGCACATTGTATATATAAAACATTTCTTATGTACCCCATAAATTTTCATAAATAAAATAGTAGGAATTTAATAATAAATATTGCTTTATCCTTGTGGCACATACAATGATATATAGTAAAATGCCATGGGCAGCCACGAAGTAATAGAAAATATATAATTACCCCAGTTGTCCCAAGAGAAACAAATCAGGCAATGACTTTTGAGAGGTTTTCTTCTTTATGCACACCTAAAATTTATTTTTCTGGAAATAGTCCAGCTATTTTTGAAACACCATATGAGATTTGCCTCATACGCACAAAATTAAACATTAAAAATTTGTGCTATACATATATGTATATATGTACATGTTCCCACACATTCGTGTATATATATATATTCAACCAAAATATTATGAGATGCTAGTATTTCTTTCAGCAATTTTTTTAGTTCTCTATGACCAAACAAATGTGGATATCAGAAATGGAGAATTTCTAGGTTTTTCTTTTGTAATCTACATTCAGATAATTTTAAATGTAAACCACTTCTTTGTATATTAAGGAATGTGTTGGTGATTTCACCATTTAAACAAATGTCAATTATTTGTTAGTTCCAGCATAGACTCCTTACAAAGATTTATCAGTAGCTTCTGTTCAACATGTGGGGAGAAAAACATTAAAATTTGATTTTATGGAAATTTAATTTCTACATTTTTATTGTATAGCAGTTATATTTTTTAAAATATGAAACTTTAAAAATAGTGAATTTCTTTATATTCTCTTCTATACAATGCTGTCAGTTTTTTTATGCCTTTCTTTCTAAGGATTTGCATTGCAGTGATTCTGTAAATCTTTCTTAACTCCTGCAAGGATGGTTGATCTTTAGAATGCCGTTGAAAATGAACTTGTGGGACAGGTAATTCCTATGTGGCAAACCTATTTGCACACTGCCATCAGCATGCAATGACAAGACATAAAAACTGTCAGAGCAATTCATGTGAAGAGCATCACACCAAATAACATCATAGAGGACCCATGTAACCAATAATAACACACTCTTTCTGATCTGTTTAATGCCATACATGTAATAAATTGTTCACCTAATTGCATACTATCAAATCTACATTTTATTCAAACCATGTCATGTGTTCCTATAAACAAACACACACACCACACAAAGTTTCCAGTGCATTAGCTTCAGTAAGAAGAAATATGAGACACAGGCAGCTCTGGAGACTCCCTGATAGAAGTAAACCTTTATTACCCCATGGCATTGCTGTAGTAGTTCTAGCCAGCAATTCCACAGACACTTAAATCTAAATTAGTTAATGGTCCTTGTCAGCAGCCTGCAGTTCTAGAGATGCTGCAAAGTATTTCTTTCTTCCAGTCACAGACAGCCTTGGCTAGAGTGAAGGTTATTGAGGAAGTAGGGCGTGTGTCATCAATGAAATATATTGGATCTCTAATGTACGTCTCCTAGAAACTGTTATTAATCCCAAGTTTCTCAGCCTGAAAGTCTAATAGCTGCCAAAAGGAAATAGTGATAGTGGCAGTTAGAGTGACCAAGGCTTAAAAGGTAAATATCTTCCAGGCGTGGACAATTGATAACCAGACTTGAAACAAAAACGTCTACTGCTGAATATCAATCTATTTTAAAACAAAACTAAATTTTGAAAAATGCAATGACTTTATTAAAACAGTGTAATGTTTAGCTAAACATTAATATTTACTTTCATGTGTCTGTGTATTTAAAAACAGCATTTAAGGCCAGGCGCGGTGGCTCACGCCTGTAATCCCAGCACTTTGGGAGGCTGAGATGGGCGGATCACTAGGTCAGGGGATTGCGACCATCCTGGTTAACACGGTGAAACCCTGTCTCTACTGAAAATACAAAAAATTAGCCGGGCGTGGTGGCGGGCGCCTGTAGTCCCAGCTACTCGGGAGGCTGAGGCAGGAGAATGGCGTGAACTCGGGAGGCGGAGCTTGCAGTGAGCCGGAGATCGCGCCACTGCACTCCAGCCCCGGCGACAGAGCGAGACTCCGTCTCAAAAATAAATAAATAAATAAATTAATTAATACAGCATTTAAAAGCTGCATGATCTTGGACAATTTACTAAATATTTCTGGTCCTAGTTTCCTGTTCTTTACAATGAGGTTAATAATGTATCACTTAGATGGCTGTTATGAGTAAATACTTTCAATATTTTAAAGCTGTTAGAACAGTGACTGGCACATAGTGGGCAAGATATCAGTACCTGGTAAATAGACTAAAGAGATTTAGGGAAACTAGTCACAGAAATTCAGTTTAAATGCCTACTTACAAGGATGGGATGAGGCTGATCATTCCCTGTCATTTATAGGCTTCAGGTTCATGAACAAATTGTTTAACCTTGCTAAACCTCATCTGTGAAATGGAAATACTACTTGTTTCATAATATTAACTGTAGGAATTAAAGAGCATGTCCACGTAATGTAGTCAATTGAACAAAACAGATGTTCATACAGAAGAAGTAATATTATCCAGCTTCTCCTGTCACTAATTAGTGCTAAGCTCATCTCTGGGTTACTCTCCATTTATCCTTGTGACCTGTACTGAACCAGATTCAAGCTTCTATCAACACTTTGATACCAAAAGCCTTTCTATGTTGTGCAGTCCTACTGGAGATGAAACTGTTAAAAAGAGAAACCTCAGGGTGCTAAAGCTAGAGGCACGTCTGGAAGTATAAACCTAGGAAGTTACTTAGAATCAATTTTGAAAAGTGGAGAAGACTTGCTCTGGTAGAATTCAACTTAGATGTTATATGTTATTCTTTTTCTATCAAAAGCAGGAGCTATAGATTTATAGAAAGAGAGAGATGCAGTTCTATACAGTACAGAACTATAGAGGTACAGTTGATGAAGTCTCTACATTTGTGTTCGATGAGTGAGTAACTGCAGACACAGAAAATGAAGTTAGTATCTAAGCACCAATGTAAGAAAATGATCGTTTTAACTTGGGCTAATTTGAAAAAGAGAAAAGGATCAGATAATGGCAGAGAGCTTGAGTGAAAAATGAGATATTCCGTAGAAGACTAGGGTAAAAATATTAACTGCATCTAACTGAAGGGTATCAGTTTTCTTACATGAAGAGCTATATGCTATCCTCATAGCCATGCTGGATATTACATATCCATATATCCATATATCCATATGTATATACATGAATATACATATATACATATACTTCATAGTGATTTTGAGTGAGAATCTCTGAAAATTTATATTGATATGCATGTTGTATACAATGTATATAATGGAAAAAAGTATGACAATAACTGCAGGAAAGTTAACTAGTTTACCTGTTGCTCCTTCAGTGGACTATAGGCTAGAAGTGTGGAAACAAGCACAATTAAAAGCTAGATGAATAAATGTGGGGCCATTCATGTGCAAACAACCATAATAGTAGCTATAATTGATTGTAGCATAATGCTGAACTAGTACTATTTAGAAATTTAATTTATTATTGGAGAAAAATCAAACAATCATGGAATAAGCATTCCAGCCGTGTTGAACTGCATGTGATCCAGGAGGACGCCCTAGAGACACAAACACATATTTAGGTATCTTCCACTTTATATATATGATGTGTCTGAATACACATTCATGAGATAATATTATATTGCCAATAAATTAAGAGTCACCTAATTTCAGATACCATAGTGTAAGAATCCCGAGACCTTTTTGTTTTTAAATAAAAGTTGGTTGTACATGTGAGAATCTGATGAAACTGAGTTCATAGCATGGGAATGCATTCTACTTTTTTCTTTATTTGGTTTTTAATTTGAGCATTTTAATCCATAAACCTCATTAATGCATTTATTTAAGAAAAGGTATATTGAATATTATGTGTCAAGATGTATAATAAAAAGATTAAAAATCACAGCTTCTGATCATAAGGAAATAATTGCTTACTGAGATGAGAGAATGGTAAGCAGATACTTATAACAGAATTATAAATGCTAGAGGAGCTTATAGAAAGAGCAGGATTAAGGCAGAGGTTAGGACTTTGGGAATATGGTTAGGTATGTAGGAGGAAGTCAAATCTTAGCTAGATTTAAAAAGCTGAAATTAACTAGGTCATTAGGTGTTCAAATCTTCAAATACAGTTCTTTGAAGATAAAGCCATCTGTCCAAAAAGTATACAAAATATACGTAGAAGACGGTGCTTTAAAAACTACAAATACATCTATATGTGTAGATTGTAAGGATGGATACAATGAAAGGGAAAAAAGTATGCAATCATAAATAATTTGGAATTAATGTTGTAGCCTGTAGGAAACTACTGATGGATTGTAATTAGGGGAGCTAAAGGGTTTTAGAAAATCACTTGGATGCTGTAGTGGCTGTGGTTGATACACTGCCCAGATAGCTGTTTCTGAGTAGTGAAATTTTTTCCTTCCTAGTACTGCTGCTGCTGTTGCTTTGTTAGCCACACATGGCTCCCCGTGGCCAATCTTCAGAGAAACTCCCTCAGCCATGACGATCTGCTTACCAGGTCCTCACTCTCCTTACTCCCTATGAGACTGAACAACCACAACGACTGACTAAGATAGAAATATACAAGGCTTGTCTGAGGGGGGAACTAACCCTGTGGAGAAGTTCATGCTGTAGCACACCCCTGGGAATCAGTTGGAATGTAGGCTGGAGCTGAGAGCACATCCTGGTTCAGCCCTTGTCTCTCAACCTATTTTGTATTCATCATGTTTCTTCTCCAGAGAGCACATTCTCAGTGAATGGTTTGCAGACAAATTTCCAAGTTAGGATTTGCTGTACAGAATCAAATCTAAGTGAGTCATTTATTTAGACAATGAGCCCAAATGGAAAGCAGAAATAAGATTGGAGAAGGAGTTAATTCTAACATCACAGTAATTACAAGATTATTACAAAAAATAATGACGACCAGATCTGCAGCACAGCACTTAAAACAGAGAAAATGGAATAATTGTCAGGGATATTGAGGACTGAATTGACAGGAATAGAAAGTATGGGCTGATTGGGTGCGGTGGTCCATGCCTATAGTCCCAGCACTTTGGGAGGCCAAGGCAGCTGGATCATATGATGTCAGGAGTTTGAGACCAGGCTGGCCAACATGATGAAACCCTGTCTCTACTAAAAATACAAAAAATTAGCCAGGCGTGGTGGCACATGCCTGTAATCCCAGCTACTTGGGAGGCTGAGGCAGGAGAATTGTGTGAACCCGGGAGGTGGAAGTTGCAGTGAGTTGAGATCCCGCCATTGCACTCCAGCCTGGTCAAGAGCGAAACTCTGTCACACACACACACACACACATACACACACACACACACAAAAGTATGGGCTAAGAGATCAGGTAGAGTCAAAGATGACATTAGCTCTTGTTGGTCTAAACAGTTACTGAAAATTAATGCAGTCAACAATTTACATAAACACTCAAACACAAATGAAAAAATACTAAGTATTTAAAAATATACATACATTTCTAAAAACATATATTAAACACAGTAAAATAGATATCTGGATTGTGGACAGAGAAAGAGATCCAGGATGAAGTAAAAAAAAAAAAAAATCAAATGAGAGGGCCCTATATTAATGAATAATCATAAAAACAAATAATAAAGGGCTTTGACTACTGGTGTGTGATTAATTAATATTCCCCTTTTCCTACCATTAAAGTAGATAAGAAAGTGTAGGAGAAGAGAACAGAATAAGTGGAGTAAATTTTGGGGAGGAAGAGGTTATGCATTTAGCGTTGCTTTTGGCTAACAGAAAAAGATTCTAGAACTGGACTTGAGAAAGTTCTTGACTCCAGTATATTCATCTGTAATGAGAAAATAATTACTGCACATAGTGTGAAATAAATTCTGTACTATATGTAAGAATATACCACTCTTCCCCTAACACATAGCACTCAATAACTGTAAATTTTATTTTATTATGCATACTGTGATTGTCTCTAAATATGCCTCAACAAATTGAAAACTATGATGTCAGTCAGAGAAAAACATTTTGCCTTTTTCTCTGGTATTAATGTTCTTTAACTTGTTGTTCATTACTGCTTAATGTTTCTTTTTACCTGAACTAGTTTCTGTTTTTTAACTTTTAAGTTCAGTAGTACATGTGCAAGTTTGTTACATAAACATGTTTCATGGAGGTCTGTTGTACAGATTATTTCATCACCCAGATATTAAGTCTAGTACCTATTAGTTATTTTCCTAATTTTCTGTCTCCTTCCATTCTCCACCCTCCAATAGGCCCAGTGTGTGTTGTTCCCTTATTTGTGTCCATTTGTTCTTATCATTTAGCTTCCACTTATAAATGATAACATGCAGTCTTTGGTTGTCTGTTTATGCATTAGTTTGCTAAGAATAATGGCCTCCAGCTCCATCCATGTCTCTGAAAAGGACATATTCTTGTTCTTTTTTATGGCTTCATAGTATTCCATGGAATATATGTACCAAATGTTCTTTTCCCAGTTTATCATTGATGGACATTTAGGTTGATTCTATGTCTTTGCTATTGTGAATAATGCCTCCAGAAACATATGTATGCATATGTCTTTATAATAGAATGATTTTTATTCCATTGGATGTATAGCCAGTAATGGGATTCCTGGACCGAATGGCATTTCTGCCTTTAGGCCTTTGAAGAATCAAGACACTATCCTTCAAAATGTTTTAACTAATTTACACTCCCACCAACGGTGTAAAAGTGTTCCCTTTTTTCCCCAAATCTCACCAGCACGTTATTTTTTGACTTTTAATAATAGCTATTCTGGTGTGAGATGGTATCTCGTAGTTTTGATTTGCATTTCTCTAATGATCAGTGATGTTGGGCTTTTTTTATATGATTGTTGGCTGTATGTAGCTCTTCTTTTGAAAAGTGTCTGTACATGTTCTTTGCCCACTTTTTTATGGGTTTGTTTGTTTTATTCTTGTAAATTTGTTTATGTTTCTTACAGACGTGGATATCAGAATTTTGTCAGATCCATAGTTTGAAAAACTTTCTCCCATTCTGTTTACTCCATTGACAGTTTATTTTGCTGTGCAGAAGCTCTTTAGTTCAATTAGATCCCATTTTTCAATTTCTACTTTTGTCAAAATTGCCTTTGGCATCTTCATCATGAAATCTTTGTTCCTTCCTTTGTCCTGAATGGTATTACTTAGGTTGTCTTCCAGGGTTTTTGTAGTCTTGGGTGTTAAATTTAAGTCTTTAATCCATCTTGAGTTAATTTTTGTATATGCTATAAGAAAGGGGTCCAGTTTCAGTCTTCTGCATATGGCTAGCCAGTTATCCCAGCACCATTTATTGAATAGAGAATCCTTTCTTCGTCAATTGTTTTTGTCAGATTTGTCAAAGAACAGATGGTTGTAGGTATGCAGTCTTATTTCTGGGTTCTCTATTTTGTTCTATTGGTCTTACGTGTCTGTTCTTGTGCCAGTACCATCCTATTTTGGTTACTGTAGCACTGTAGTATAGTTTGAAGTCAAGTCGTGTGATGCCTCCAGCTTTATGTTTTTTGCTTAAGATTGCCTTGATTATGTAGTCTCTTTTTTGGTTTTATATGAATTTTAAAATAGTTTTTTTCTAGTTCTGCAAAGAATCTCAATGGTGTTTTAATAGGAATAGCATTGAATCTACAGATTGCTTTGGGCATTATGGTCATTTTAATGATATTGATTCTTCCTATCCATGAGTATGCAAAGTTTCTCCATTTGTTTGTGTCATCTCTGATTTCTCTGAACAGTGCTTTGTAGTCCTCCTTGTGGAGATCTTTCACCTGCCTGGTTAGCTGTATTTGTAGGTATTTTATTCTTTTTGTGGCAGTTGTAGATGGGGGTATGTTCCTGATTTTCCTCTTGGCTTGACTGTTGTTGTTATATAGGAATGCTAGTGATTTTTATGCATTAATTTTGTATCCTGAGACATTACTGAAGTTTATGATCAGCTTAAGATGCTTTAGGACTAAGATTATGGGGTTTTCTAGATATAGGGTCATGTCATCTGCAAACAGGGATAGTTTGAAAGTTTGTCTTTCCATCTGGATGTCTTTATTTCTTTGTCTTGCTTAATTGCCCTGGCCAGGACTTCCAATAGTATGTTACATAGGAGTGGTGAGAGAGGATATCCTTGTCTTGTGCCATTTTTCAAGGGGAATGGTTCCAGCTTTTGTTATTCCATATGGCGTTGACTGTGGATTTGTCATAGATGGCTCCTATTATTTTGAGGTATGTTTCTTCAATACCTAGTTTATTGAGAGATTTTAATATGAATAGATGTTGAATTTTATTGAAAGCTTTCTCTGAATCTATTGAGATAATAATGTGATTTTTGTCTTTAGTTTTGTTTATGTGATGAATCACATTTACTGGTTTGTGGATGTTGCATCCTGGGGATGAAGGCTACTTTATTGCATTGGATAAGCTTGTTGATGTGCTGCTGGATTCAGCTTGCCAGTATTTCATAGAGGATTTTTGCACTGATGTTCATCATCAATATTGCCTTGATGTTTTCTTTTTCTGTTGTACCTCTGCCAGGTTTTGGTATCAGGAAGATGCTCACCCTGTAGAATGAGTTAGGGAGGAGTCCCTCCTCCTCAATTTTTTTGGGGAATAACTTCAGTAGGAATGTATATCTGCTAGAACTCAGCTCTGAATTCACCTGGTCCTGTGGAGTTTTGTGGTTGGGAGTTTTGTGGTTGGTAGGATAATTATCACTGCCTCAGTCTCAGAGCTTGTTATCTCAGAGCTTGTTCTGTTCATGGTTCAATTATTTCCTTCCTGTTTCAGTTCTGGGAGAGTGTATGTGTCCAGAAATATATCCACTTGTTATAGATTTTCTAGTTTATGTGCACAGAGTTGTTCATAATATTTTCTGATGGTTGCTTGTATTTTTGTAGGGTCAGTGGTAATATCCTCCTTGATGTTTCTCATTGTGTTTATTTAAATCTTCTCCTTTATTTCTTCACTAGTCTAGGTTGAGGTTTATTTATTTATTTTCCAAAACACAGCTCTTGGATTGGTTGATCTTCAGAATGATTTTTCATGTCTCAATATACTTCAGTTCAGTTCCAATTTTGGTTATTTCTTGTCTTCTGCTAACTTTGGGATTTGTTTGCTCTTGGTTCTCTGATTCTTTTAGTTGTGATGTTAGGTTGCAAACTTGAGATCTTCCTAACTTTTTGATTTGGGCATTTAGGGCTATAAATGTTCCTCATACAACTGCTTTAGCTGTGTCCCAGAGATTCTGGTATGTTGTATCTTTGCTCTCATTAGTTGAAAGAACTTCGTAATTCCTGCCTTAATTTCATTATTTACCCAAAAGTCACTCAGCAGCAGGATAATCAGTTTCCATGTAAATGTATGGTTTCTAGTGAATTTCTTAGTCTTCAGCTCTAATTTGATTGCACTGTGTAGACTGTTTTTTGTTATTTTAGTTATTTCAAATTTGCTGAGGAGGGCTTTACTTCTGATTATCTGGTCAATGGTAGATGTGCCATGTAGTAATAAAAAAAATATATTCTGTTGGTTTTGGGTGGAGAGTTTTATAGCTATGCATCAGGTCCATTTGATCCAATGCTGAGTTCAGGTCCTAAATATCTTTGTTAATTTTCTGTCTCGATAATCTGTATAATATGGTCATTAGGGTGTTAAAGTCTCTGACTCTTATTCTGAGGGAGTCTAAGTCTCTTTGAAGTTCTTCAAGAACTAGCTTTATGAATCTGGGTGCTGACTGGGGTTTTCTGCATTTCCTGAACTTCAATTTTGGCCTTTCTAGCTAGGTTGTGAAAGTTCCTATGGATGATATCCTGAAATATGTTTTCCAAGTTGGTTCCATTTTCCCCATGTCTTTCAGGTACACCAATCAGTCATAGATTCAGTCTCTTTACATAATCCCATATTTCTTAAACGTTTTATCCATTTCCTTTCATTTTTTTCTTTATTCTTGTCTGCCTGCCTTATTATAGAAAGAGTTAATATATATTTAGTATAGTTAGGTCTTCTTGCTGAATGGAACACTTTTTCATTATGTAACAATCTTCTTTGTCTTTTTTAATCTTTGTTGGTTTAAAGTCTGTTCTGTCAGAAACTAGTACTTCAACTCCTGCTTTTTTCCTGTTTCCCATTTACTTGGTAGATTTTTCTTCATCCCTTTATTTTGAGCCTATGTGTATCATTGCATGTGAGATGGGTCTCTTGAAGACAGCATATCAATGGCTCTTAGTTCCTTATCCAACTTGTCACTCTGTGTCTTTTAATTGGGGCATTTAGCCCATTTACATTTAAGGTTAGTATTGATACGTGTGGGTTTTATCCTGTCATCATGATGTTAGCTGGTTATTTGAAGAATTGTTTATGTGGTTGCTTTACTGTTCTGTATACTGTTCTGTACACTTCTGTGGTTTTATACTGGCTGGTAATGATCTTTCCTTTCCATATTGAATACTTCTTTAGGGAGCTCTTGTAAGACAGGTCTGGAGGTAACAAATTCCCTCGGCATTTGCTTATGTGAAAGGATCTAATTTCTTCATCACTTAGGAAGCTTAGCTTGGCCAGATATGAAATTCTGGGATGGACTTTTTTTCTTTAAGAATGTTGTACATTGGCACCGAATATCTTCTGGCTTTTAGGGTTTCAGCTGAGAAGTCTGCTGTTAGTCTGATGGGCTTACTTTTGTACACAATCTGACCTTTCTCTCTAACTGCCCTTAACATTATTTCTTTCATTTTGACCTTGGGGAATCTGCTGATTATGTGTGTTGGGGATGATCTCCTTGTGAAGTATCTGACTGGGGTTTTCTGCATTTCCTGAAATTCAATGTTAGCTTTCTAGCCAACTTGGGGACATTCTCATGGATGATAGCCTGAAATATATTTTTCAAGTTGGTTCTGTTTTCCCCATCTTTTTCAGGTACACCAATCAGTCATATATTGTCTCTTGACATAATCCTAATGTATTATTCATTTTCTTTCATTCTGTATTCTTTATTCTAGTCTGCCTGTCTTATTTTAGAAAGGCAGTCTTTAAGCTCTGAGATTCTTTCTTCCACTTGGTCTATTCTACTGTTAATGCTTGTGACTGAATTATGAAATTTTTGTAGTGTGTTTTTTAGCTCTTTCAGATTAGTTACATTCTTCTCTGTACTGGCTATTTTGTCTGTCAGCTCCTGCAATGTATCATGATTTTTATTTTCCTTGCATTGGGTTTCAACATACTCCTACAACACGGTGAACTTTGTTTTTGTCTATATTCTGAATTCTACATCTCTCATTTCAGCCATCTCAGCCTCAGCCCAGTCTCAACCTGTTGCTGGTGAGGTGATGTGGTCGTTTGAAGGAAATAAGGCATTCTGGCTTTTTGGATTCAGCATTCTTGCACTGACTATAATATTTATGGGCTTATCTACCTTCAATCTTTGGGGCTGTTGACGTTTGGATGTTTTTTATTTTCTTTTATCCTATTTGATGACCTGGAGGGTTTGACTGTGGTATAAGGTAGATTCAGTCAACTGGCTTCATTTCTGGGAAATTTTAGAGGGCCAACTCTCAGTTCCCAACTCCTGGACTGAGTGCTCTTTGAGGAACTTGTACTTGACTCCCATGTTTTTCTCTGGCTCCTCAAGGTTTGGAGTCCATTGTGCTGGCGTTGCTGAGGTGAGGCAGCTGCAGTAGAGTGCTAGTGGATGCAGGGGTTCCTGCCTCCTTCTGGGCACTCACCACAGTGGGGGAGGCAAAACGGATGATTGGGGGGTGGGAGCAGGGGGTCCCTGCTAGAGATTGTGTGCACTGTTGCACTGGAGGTAGAGTTGGCTTGGGTTGATGTGCTAGGCAGCATAAATCTGGGTGCCTTCTCTGTGCCCCACAAACTAGAGTAATCACACAGTGTGTGAGAGGATCCCTTGTTCTCTGTGTAGCATTAGCATAAGGGTCAGATGCTGGTGGAGGTGGGGCTTGCTAGCTCTCCGCCCACCAAGGCTTCATCCGCAATGGCAGTTGGGGGTGGGTAGACTACACTTCTGAATACTTACAGGGCAAGAAAAGAAAAACCCACCCACGCAGATGCAGGCCAGCAAAGTGATGGGTGTAGTTGTTGTACAGTATGGAGAGGGAATGTGCAGGCTGGTATGTGGTTCCAGGGACTGCCTCACTGGAGCTCTCCCCAGGCATGATCCACAGGTGCTGAAGCTATACTGAGGGCCCTCAGAACATCTGAGACTGCCCTATAAGCACGTGTGGCCAGGCTGTGGCCTGGAAGAGGTCAGCAGACTAAGGAGTGTTTAGGTGAGACCAGCCCCATCTGATGTGCAAGGCCACCCTGCAGAGATCAGGTTTGACTGTTACTCTAGGGCTAAAGTCTCTTATGGGAGCAAGTTGAGCCTAGAAGGATGGCCATTCCTGGTGTTGCACTACAGACACACCCACACCAAATCATCTGTGCTCCATATCAGCTGGCTTGCTGCCCCAGAACTTCTCTATGCAGCTCCCCTTGCCAATTCATGTGTCCTTGGTGTTTGAGGGATCCCCTCCTGCCAGGGATCCAAAGGCCCATGGCGAAAGCAGGTTGCTCCTTGCCAGTTCAACTCACCCATTCCCCTGGAGCTGTTGTGGTTCAAAAATGAGTCCCAGTGCTCAATAGCCCCTGCAGAGTTCCCAGATTTTTCCCCCTTGAGCTCAACTTCTGTCTTATTCTGTCGACTCTTGGCTTCTTTCCTTTGAAGAGCTTTTAAAAGCACACCTGTCATCTCAGTCCCTCTGTGAAAGCTCTTCCACGTATCTGACTCTAGTCGGCCATCTTGCCCTCCCCCATCCTGACCCACTTTGAAATTATTAACTCTTCTGGCCTCAGACCCTCTGCTTTGCTATTACCTGATTATCTCTGTTACTTGCCACAGCATTCTTCTTATTCTATCAATCACCAACAAACTATTTGCCTTTACTACCAAATATAATTGCTTCATCTATCAAAGTAACCTATGTTAAGCACACAAATCTAAATATTTTGTGTGGGTGGGGTGGGGTAAGATGGAAATCTACCACTGTGGAATTTTGGATTCTTGTTACTATTGGTTAGTTGAGAAACAAGGTAAACTATAATAGAGTTTAAGATAATTTAAGCCCCTTAATATAATGATGAGGAAACCAGGTCCCTGATGACTAATAGGTATACATAAATTGCATGTTATACTGAGATGAAAAATAATGATAGGCTAGTATTATATCTGGGTTGGATTGAAGTAGTTTCCTGTTTGGTGGGTTTGATGTCATACAAATATATCTTGGCCATAACTTATTAATGAGGAAGACCCAATTCCAATAGTGGTGTTTCAGGCTAAAATGAGCTGTGAACTGTATATAGACAGTGCATTGAAAAAGGAAATCAATCGTGAGAGACAGAAAGAGACTACAAATTAATCATCCACTAGGCAAAGTTACTTTGAGAGATTCCAGGCAGTCAGAAGATGATACCATGCTGTTTCTTGTAATCTCAACCAGATGGTATGCATCCCTTTCTAATCAGACTGTAGGACAGAAATGAAAAGCACAACCTAAGGGGAACGAGGAAAGAGATTGGTACTGAGATACTGACTCATAAATCTATACTTCTGGTTTTAACTAAAATCCCTCATAATGTCATGCTTATTATTCATGATACACACACACACACACACACACACACACACACACACTATAAAATTTCACTCAGAAATATGTATATGACTGAAACAAAAAAATTATGTTACTCATCGCATTTCTATTTTATTTTATTCTTTCCTCTATTTTTCCTTTTTCATTATTCCAGCTTTCTTCCCTTCTTTTTCTCCTTTTTTTCTTTCTTTCCCTTTCTTCATTTCTTCCTCTTTTTTCTCTTTATATTTACTGTCCTCCCTGTCTTTCTCTTTTCTTTCTCTCCTTTCTTTCTTTCTTTCTTTCTTTTTCCTTCCTTCTTTACTTCTTTCTTTCCTTTCTCTTTTTCTTTCAACTGAATCACATAAATTTAATTTAATGACAAATAAAATGGATTATGACCTTTATTTTAAAAAAACATTATTCTGAGGATCTGACTAGATATAAGGTAAAACTCAGTAACCAGTTTGATCAAGAAAAACATGAAGTGCCTCAGGGATGCAAATTAGTTCGGAATAAAGATCTAGCTCCCACTTTATTGGGGGTCTATAATTTCTGAAGCTAGACTTTGTAGAGTCAGCAAGATTTATACTAGAGAAAGTACTAAAAAAAATTACATGGATGCAGTTTAATCTAACTCTTGATGTTTCTTTGTGCTCTTTCAGTACTGAGGTGAAATCATAAATATTATCACCCAAAAGCTTAAGAACGTGGAATTTCAATGTCTTTAGAAAGATATTTGACCTGAAAAAAATCTATCCCTAAACAAAGACAATGTGTTTTAATATGTATGTGCTGCTTTAGTAAAGCTTGATACACAATTGGAAAAATAAATGATGAGTTCTTTAATATAAATAAATTAATGTGTCTGAAAGGATTAACCAAAGAGCTTGAGTGGTAAGGAAGGAAGATATAAGATAATATTTCTTCCTTTTTTATCTGAAATTTTGAGTAGGAGAAAAAGGTATAAATCCATTTGTATGTGTCTTGGTACTCAGAAGACTTTGGTTCCTGGTCAACTCAAGGCAATATGGATTCCCTTGAATCTATTGTAGAGATAAGAAGATGACATGTTGGGATGAAAATGTGTTGAATGTAGTTGCACTATCCTTAAATTATGTGTTAAAAACTTACTCAGATTGCTGCATTTAGGTCTAGAAAGTCTACTAAGGAAATGTACATGAGTGAATATCATAGACCAAAGGGATGCATAGAGAACATGATAGTGTTTCATTAGAGCTAAAGAAAGGCCATGCCTTCCAACGAGCTGCCAACAGGCTCTATCTATCAAGCTCAAGGAGTTCCTTTAACAGTAGTCCCACATACCAACCTTGAATGGCAGCACAATGTCCTGAGAAGTTCATGTCTCAAACATTATCACATCACCCACACCTAAGGACCAGAAAGAGGCCTTAGGTTCCCTTATCTACATCAGAAGATCATAAAAGCCTCATTACATTATCTCCTTATACCAGTTTGGAGCCCAGCAGGGACAATTGTTCTTTAAAGAATAAAGGTAAAAAAGCAACCATTTAAATTATGGAGCTGATAAATTTGTATATTGGTTAGGATTAAATTTTACTCTGAATTTAAACATGAGATTCATAAACTTCCAGTAAATTATAGTTGAGATAAAGGGCCAGCAATTGTTCTGTACATACAAACAATCGTGTGATTAATTTTAAGACTTCACACATAGTTACAAGGATAACTTTCAAGCCCAAATACTGAAATAATGTTAATATTCCAGAAATGGAATTGAGACTCGTTGCTTTTATCAATTTTCTTTTGTTAATAAAGCTAATACCACAGATGTATAAATTCTCCAATTAGATGTTTTTCTCCCAAATAAAAAGGATTACCTTCAAGACTGCTCAGATGGCTAATCCACTTATGCTAGAATTTGCTGCTAATCTTTTGCTTATTTTCTTATACGTCCTCCAAAGAATAGTACTTCACACAATTATACTGATGGAAAAGACTACAATAAGTCATAGAACAATTTTCTTTGCATTTAGTCAAGACTGAAAACCTATTCTAAAACATAGTTATTTGTCAAAGATATTAAAATATGAAGAATATATTTATAAAAATTTATAATTCATTAATTATGCTACTGATTACACTTACAATCTAAAGAATATTTAAAAGATGACTACTACCTCAGAGCACCTTTCTATTTTTCCATATTTTTCATCAATTTATTAAATAACACATTTTCTAATTGGTGCTAATCCTCTAGTGTATGTTTTTCTATCATTTTTTTGAGGCATGGTATTTTACCCAAAAATATAAAATAAAAATGCACCAGTTACACTATTCACATTGAGCCACATAGTGATATATTCGTGTCTTATGCCATCATTCTGAAACAAAAAGCTTGCAAATATACACATGCCAACACATCCCTGCACACCAATATACAGAATTCCAAAAGTTCATATCCAAATGAGTTGTGAGATCAAGATTGCATTATTAGCTCACATGGCAAGGAAAGGTAATACAGAGAAGATCACAATTTGAGTAATGAACTTGATGAAGCACAGAAACATACAAATTTCTGGGACATTCCAGGAAAGCAGAAAAGCAGCTCTAAGTAGTCTGAGAGAAAAGGGTGACTGGTGCGTTTTAGGACTGTAAAGGATGGAATGAGGAAGAGAGAGGCAAGATCAGAGAGACAGTAACCAAGGGCCATATTGTGAGACTGTTGGCTTGTACTCTGAGTGAGATGGGAAGCCAGTGGAGAATTTGAACAAAGTAGTATGAATCGTCTTATGTTTTATCTTAGTTAAAGTGACTAATTCAGAAATGATTGAAATTCAGAAGACAAGATACTTGTGTGATGCCTCCACAGATTGTAAATCATGAAAAATAATCTATTGGAAGATTAATGCGTTAGAGATGTAATTTTCATTTTTTAACATTCAAAATGTACTCATTCATTAAATTAGATATTTAAATAATCATCTATATTTTGTTGTGTTACAGTCTGAGCATAATGAACTGCTTCACTGATCTTAGTGATAAGAAGAAAAAAAACCTTCAACAAATAAAGTCTTGAATCACATAAAAACATTTTGGTCAACACTGAACTATATATACAACAGTGGTCCTATAAGATTATAAAGGAGCTGAAAAATTGCTATTGCCTAGGGTTGTCATAGTCATATTTTAGAGCGATGCATTAATGACAAACTAATGTTTAAAAAGTAAAACATTTTAAAAATTGATAACATGAAAAGCTTAAAGAATAAGGATATAAAGAAAGAAAAATATTTTGTATAGCTACACAATTTGTTTGTTTTAAACTAAATATTATTACAAAAGTCAAAAGTTTAAAAAATATGAAGTTTATAATGTTTAAAACTTTCAGGCCAGACGCGGTGGCTCACACCTGTAATCCCAGCACTTTGGGAGGCCTAGGAGGGCGGATTGCCTGAGCTCAGAAGTTCAAGACCAGCCTGGGCATCATGGTGAAACTCCATCTCTTCTAAAATACACAAAAAATTAGCCTAGAATGGTGGCATGCGCCTGTAATCTCAGCTACTTGGGAAGCTGAGACAGGAGAATCACTGGAACCTGAGAGGTGGAGGCTGCAGTGATGTGAGACCGCACCGTTTTGCACTGCAGCCTGGGAGAGAGAGGGAGACTCTGTCTCAAAAAAAAAAAAAATTCAATAAGCTAAGGTTAGAAGATTAGTTTATTAATGAAGAGAGAAAAATATTTTTATAAATTTACTGTAGCCTAAGAGTACCCTGCTTATAAAATATACAGTAGTGCACAATAATGTCCTAGGCCTTCACAGTCACTCACCGCTCTCTCACCGACTTACCCAGAGCAATGTCCAGTCCTACTTACCACTTCATGGTAAGTGCTCCATACAGGTATACCATTTTTCATTTTATATATTTTATTTTTACTGTACCTTTTCTATGTTTAAATGTGATTAAACACACAAATACCATTGTGTTACAATTGCCTAAAGGATTTAGTATAATAACATCCTTCCCAGGTTTGTAGCCTTGGTGCAATAGGATATATCATATAGTCTGGGTGTGTAGTAGGCTATAATATCTAGCTGTGTAAGTACATCTATGCTGTTTGTACAATGATGGAATTGACTAACAACACAATTCTCAGAATGCATCTTCATCATTATATTATGCATAACTGTATTCACACTATGTAAAAAGAAGGAACAAAATTATGTGTTCAGAAGATCTTCTTTTTGAAGGAGACTTGACTTGAATTATACATGAGTAGAAAACCGCCAGGCTAATAGAGAAGGAAACAACATCAGAAACCCCCAAAAGCAAGTATAAAGACCCATTGAGGGGAAATATTTTGTTATATAATAGAAATTTTAAAAAGTCAAAATGACTGTGAGGAAAGAGTGATGTGGGTGACTACAAAGCTAAAGATGAAGGCAGAGGTCAGATAATGCAGGGCCTTCGGATGATTGTGTTAATCATATATTTTATTCTAAGAGAAAAGGAACTTATTGAAAGTTTTTCTGTAGGCAAGTTATATTGTTTCACTTATTTTTAAAAGAATTACTCTCAGAGTTCTCTAAGGAATGAAATTGGCATGGGGAGGCAGGAATGAAAAAAAAAAAGGAAATGAATTAAAAGATCATTGAAGAGGAGAGATATTACCCAACTGTAATTCTTCTGTAAAGCCACAGTAATCAAGACAGTATAATATCAGGGAAAAGAATAGACAAATATATCAATACAACAGAATAGAGAATCCAGAATTAGACCAAAAGTACTGTAGTCAACTCATCTTTGACAAAGGAATAAAGGCAATACAATGGGGAAAAGAAACTGCTTTCAACAAATGGTGCTGGAATAAGTGAGCATTCTTACACACACACAAAAATGATTCTAGGTACAAATCTTAAAAAATTAACTCAAAATGGATCATAGACCTATATCTAAAAGTCAAACTATTAAACTCTTAGGAGGTAACATAGGATAAAATCTAGATGACCTTAAGCTTGACAATGATTTTTTAAATATGACACCAAAAGCACATTCCGTGGAATAAATAATTGAAAAGCTAGACTTTATTAAAATAAGATCATTCTGCTCTGAGAAAGGACTTGTTAAGAAAATGAAAAGACAAGCCATAGATAGGAAGAAAATATTTACAAAAGAGGTACCTAATTAAGGACTCTGTTTCAAAATTTAAAAATGGACAAAAGATCTTAACTCATCAAAGAAAATATAGAGATGGCAAATAAGCATATAAAAAGATGTTCAATTGCAAATTAAACAATGTTATACTACTACACACATAAAAAATCAACTTTTTAAATTATGAGTAACATCTTTTTTTTTTTTTTTTTTAAACAGAGTTTCACTCTTGTTGCCCAGGCTGGTGTGCAATGGTGCGATCTCAGCTCACTGCAAACTCCACCTCCACCTCCTGGGTTCAAATGATTATCCTGCCTCAGCCTCCTGAGTAGATGGGATTACAGGTGACTGCCACCATGCCCAGCTAATTTTGTTTTGTATTTTTAGTAGAGATGGGGTCACTATGTTGGCCAGACTGGTCTCGAACTCTTGACCTCAGGCGATCCACCCCTCCTTGGCCTACCGAAGTGCTGAGATTACAGGCATGAGCCACAGCGCCCTGCCAACTAACACCTTCTTAATAGCATAGGGCCTTTAAACCTCTTGGAATTTAAGGAAAATTGGAAGTTATTATATACACCATGGGATACTGTGCAGCCATAAAAAATGATGAGTTCATGTCCTTTGTAGGGACATGGATGAAGCTAGAAACCATCATTCTCAGCAAACTATCGCATGGACAAAAAACCATACACCGCATGTTCTCACTCATAGGTGGGAATTGAACAATGAGAACACATGGACACAGGAAGGGGAACATCACACACCGGGGACTGTTGTGGGGTGGGGGGAGGGGGGAGGGATAGCATTAGGAAATATACCTAATGTTAAATGACGAGTTAATGGGTGCAGCACACCAACATGGCACATGTATACATATGTAACAAACCTGCACGTTGTGCACATGTACCCTAAAACTTAAAGTATTAAAAAAAAGGAATATAAAGCAGGTGTGTGAGAGACAAGATGTGCCTAAAAACCAAACATCAATTTGCTGTAAAAGAATAGTTTATATGGTGTCAACACTGTTCCTGAAAGTCCAACTAGGAAGCTTTTGCAGTATGTATTTAATGAGTAAGAGTGTTGTAAAGTGGCGTAACAGGAATGCAGAGGAGTGGATGAATTTAGACTATATCTCAGAAAAAAAAATTGGGATTTTTGTAGGTTTTGGTGTGGTATGTGAGGATGAATAAGGAGTAAGACAACAACAGACATTTCTTGTTTAGCAATTACGAGTGAAAATTACAGATACGTAGTTTAAGAAGTTCATGGGACATTTATGTGGAAACATTGTGCCTGGAGTTGGGTATAGATTTGGAGGTTATCAGCATATAGATGGTCATTCATTCAGCAAGTTGATATTGAATGCTAAATGTATATCCAAGCAGCTGCTTGTCTGAGATTACAGAAGGATTCAAATCTAATGTTACTTCTACCTAAATTTCTAAAAGCTTTTAGTTTACTGTAGTTCAAATGTTAAAGAGAGAAATAATGAACTCTTTTTACTAGAATAAATCATATATTAAAGTTGTGTCAATTTTAGAGAGAAAGATACATGCTATAAAATGTTAGCTGGACTCCAAGATCAAGAAAGATTTCCAGAGGGAAAAACCCATTAAACTGAAGCGTGCTATTCAATTCAGTATGTGAGGAAGTAGAGGTTAGGGTAGGGTATAAGATTTTTGGAATAATAAACAGCAAGTGAAAATGGACAGGAAGAAAACAACCATTAGAAATTTTAAAAAGCATGTGATTATAGATTAAACTGAAGACAGTGATTAGCATGATATAAGAATAGCGAGGTTGGAAAAAGCCAGATAATACAATACTTTGAGGGCCACAGTGGTAGCCAGTGACATGCTTCACCTGAGTAAATGACTTTATTATTTTTTATGTTTTAAAATTGTAGTTGCTTTGTGACGAATGTGTTGAAATCATGAGGAGGGGAAGAGGCAATCTGGATACCCCAAGCACATTTAATTTCTGTAAAAGATTGATATTATCACTTAGATTTAGATTCTTGTAGAAGACCTAAATGGAAGAGACTAGAGTTAAACATATCTAATATAAGGAATTTATAGCAATGTAAATATATTGGACATGGTGATGGTTAGAATAATCTTTTAGAATTCTGACTTGAATTTGCATAGTTTTCCTTAGGGGAGAAAAAGAACTATTAGGAAATTGGAAATGTTTTGACTTGAAACAAAAAGGGTAATGAGATCCAGGCTGTACATGCTAAATACATGAAACTTTAAGTCAAAAGTTCAATGAACAAAATAAAATTGTTATAGTTGTCATAAATTAAAAGTGGATAAACTATAAGGATTATCTATTAAGTACAATGTTTACCAAAGTTATGAGCAGAATTGTGCTCCCACTCCTATAAAAGATATGTTGAAGTCTTAATCCCTTGTACATTAGAATATTATCTTATTTGGAAATAGGCTCATTGCAAATATAATTAGTTAAGATGAGGTCATATAGAGTCAGCTCCTACTAGTGTCCTCATAATAATAATATCATATAAACAACAAAAAAAGAGAATATCATGTGAAGATCAAGGTAGATATTGAAATGATGCATCTGAAAGTTAAGTAATGCCAAACTGCCAGCAGCCGTCAAAAGCTAGAAAAGAGGCACAGAACACATTCTCCCTCACAGGTCTCAGAAGGATCCAACCCTGCCAGCATCTTGATTTTAAATAGCCAGGTCTCTGAACTATGAAATAATATTTTTTTTGTTATTTTAAGCCATCTAGTTCATGGAACTTTATTACAGCAGCCTAAGGGAATAATAAAATAAGTGCTAAATCAAGTTATTCTTGCAGTAAAAATTATATAATGGATTCATAAATTGATTATTATAATGGTTAACATTTTAATAGAGGACTACGTAAATATTTGAAAGATACTTTTACCATGAAAAATGTTATAGATACAATTTTTTTTTGTAAATTTGTATGCTTAAATGTACAGAATGATAACAAAATCGCAAGGTTTATATATTTTACATTTATTTATACTAGCCATGTGTAGTAAGAATTTCCAAGTCACACTGAAGAATCTCTAAGTCACATAAAAATTGCTCCAGTTCTGAGAATCTCAAAAAATCAAACCAAATTTAAAATAATGACAGTAGTGGAGTTCTACAATTTTGATTTTATATAATGTTGATACAAAATAAAAAAATTGGTAAAATAATGTTTAACAAAATAACACATACAAATAAAAGCTCAGAAAAAGAAATTTTGAAAAAAAGTAACACTAGGGAGGTGTGACACATTAGAAAGGGAATCTGGCTCTTCAAGAAGTTGAAATACAATAACATAATGAATAAAATTTTTAAATACTGTTTAAAGGATTGAAGTGATTAACATAATAATGAAATTTAGAAAGAGTACTGAATAAAAAATATATATACAAAATTAAATTGATTGTAATTACATACAATATATAAGAAGATGCAATTTTGAAAGATTATGTTTATGTTAAAAATGTAACATTTTTACATTTCTAGAAAGATTCTGGAAAAATAGTATGGTAGGCAGCACAAAGGATCAATCTTACTACCTAGACAACAATTGAACTGACAGAATCTGTCTAATGTAGCTATTTTGAGACTCTGGAAACTATTGAAGGCTTGCAAGTTCCAGGAGAATGATTGGATGGTGCATTGCAAGCAATTTTGGTCAATTTAATCTCTTAGTACAGTAGCAGCTAGCCATCCTCCACCCAAGCCCCATGGCTAACAGCTGTCCCTATTTTCCTAAATAAGTCTGCATAAAGCTCAAGGAAGCCAGGACAGACAAAAGGAAAAAGCACACAAATGAAAAAAACCCCTCTTCCTTCACATATTGGGGATCTCTGTTCTGATTTCTGCTTCTGATCACAGAGGTATAAACCAAGAGTTGAGAAGCACTGTCGTATTTCCATCCATTGTTGCAAACCTATTCCTCCCCTTGTAGTTAAAGTAACTTCCAGGGGGTTTAATGAATTGAGATGCTTCTCTCTTTTATTTTTCTTCGTTTCTCCCTTTGGGAGCTAAATGTTAAAGTCTAGGACTTTCAAAAGTAACTGCATACCTGGAGAAAATTAAAAAGGACCAGATATGCCTGGAGAAAGGCACAGGCTCAGAAAAGAAATGAAAGGACCCAAACTTTACACCTCAGGTGGATCTTTGGAAAAGAGACCCTTAAAAAAAAAAAAAAAAACCACAAAACAATAATACAAACAGCAAACTCAGGGTGAGGTGGAGAATCTCATAGACAGAGTTACCACACTGTAAAAGTCAAATGTTCAGTTTTCAATAAAAAAAATCACAAGGCATATAAAGAAACAGAAAAATTGTTTCTATGTGTAAGTAAACCAATAGACACTGTCACTGAAAAAGACTTGATGGTGGATCTACTAGACAAAGGCTTTAAAACAACTGTATTAAAGATGCTCAAAGAACTACAATTGTGAACAATGACAATAAAGTAATGTAGGTCAGGCATTGTGGCTCACGCCTGTAATCCCAGCACTTTGGGAGGCCAAGGCGGGTGGATCACGGGATCAGGAGATGAGACCATCCTGGCCAACACGGTGAAACCCCATCTCTACTAAAAATACAAAAAATTAGCCAGGTGTGGTGGCGGGCACCTGTAGTCCCAGCTACTTAGGAGGCTGAGGCAGGAGAATGGCGTGAACCTGGGAGGTGGAGCTTGCAGTGAGCTGAGATCGCGCCACTGCACTCCAGCCTGGGCGACAGAGTGAGACTCCATCTCAAAAAAAAAAAAAGAATGTAAGAACAAAATGGAAATATGAATACAGACATAGAAAACCAAAAAAGAATCCACAAAGAAATTCTGAAGCTGAATATTACAAAAAGAATTTGCCGCAGGGATTCAAGGTCAGATTTGAGTTAGAATTGTGACTTGAACTTGCATATTTTTCTTTAGGGTGGAAAAGAACCATTAGGAAGTTGGAAATGTTTTGACCTGAAAGAAAAAGAGTAATGGGATCCAGGCTGTACATACTAAATTCATGAAACTTCCAGTCAAAAGTTGAATGCAGAAAAATGAATTCAATGAAGGTAGTGAAATGAATCAATAAACTTGAAGATAAGAGAGGTGAAATTATTGAGTCTGAGGAACAAAAAGAAAAGAGATTGAAGGAAAGTGAACAGAGCCTGAGGGACATATTGGACACCATCAAGCAATGAAGCTGACCTACTTATTCATCATGGCCACTGAGTACTGATTGCCAGGGCAATGAAAGATTCTTTGCTAATTGTATGAATCCAGAGAGAGAGAACATTTACACAACAAATGAAGAAAAGCAGATTTATTACACATAGGCAGGAATGATAAACAAAAGCTAAGGATTCATGGTGAGGTGGTCCTCCAATGCTCAGAACAGCTGCCTAAAATAACTGGAGTCTTGTCTGCATGTACCCCACATTGCACTACAGCTGATGGACCCTAAAAGTGCTCCATCCTGAGTTTATATAACCTGCATGCAACTGAGCTGTCTGAGTACAAGTCTTGCAGAACATCCTGTTCTAGGAGGAATGGAGACAGAATCTGAGTTGTGCTGGACATTTCTTCCTTAACAAAGAATTGTGAGCTCTGATTGATCCATCTCCTTATTAACACCAGTATTTTCTAGCATCTTTTAGTTTAGTAATTGTCATAAGTTTGTAGTGGTTTCAGGTTGCAGTTTTTTTTTTCATTGTCATAAGCATATATATCACACATATATGTCACACATATATATGTCATAAGCATATATATCACACATACATGGGTGTATATATATATATATATATATATCATATGTCAGTGCAAATTTGAATGGCCCATTCTGTGAAGTGTCCATTCAAGGGTTTTGATTTTTTTCTGCTAATTTGTCTAATTTTCTTAACTTTTATGGTTTAAAGACATTTTTCATAGAAGACCCTCTTTTCAGAATTAGGTAATTAACAGTGTCTTTTGATGAATGGAAGTGGTTAATTAAATATAGTTAACTTTATTTTCCCCATTATTTAACTGTTTTTCTGTTTCCTATTTGAGAAATCTGTGACTACACCAAGATCACCATGATATATATATTTTTTGTCTTATATAATTGATATATATAATTTGTCTTATATAACTGAAATATAAAATGATACACTTGTCTTCTCAAATCTCACTGTTTATTCTTTTGCCTTCCACATTTAAAGTCACAGTCCACATGGAATTTATTTCTTTGTATGTTGTGAACTTGAGGTCAATGTGTCTGAGTGTGTGTGTGTATATAGTCTCTCTACATTTTTATTCAGTTGACCCCATTTCATTTATTGAAAACGTCATCCATTCCCTCTTCTTAATGGTAGTGCTACCACTTTTATAATTCAGGAAACCTTGGGTCAATTTTTATAGTGTCTTTAGTTCTAATGATCAGTTTGTACATCCTTGCACTAAATTTATTCCTATAGCTTTATACTCAGTTTTGATGTCTGGTACTGTTGGATATAGAAGATTTGACTTGCACATTCAATAAACTTAATCAAATGTACATAGACTTTTCTGGACACAAACATTACTTTATTGGTTTTAAGTGGACATGAAAAATTACTTTTTGAATGACTAATATTCCAAAGACAGCTACCAAGAATTCTCGTAGATTGTATCATACCCAATATTTCTCTGAAAACAGTTCAAAACAGTTTTAAAATAATAACAACGACAAATTTTTTTCTTGGAGACTTTAAATCACATAGTTAAATAGTTACACCGCATGTTCTCACTCATAGGTGGGAATTGAACAGTGAGAACACGTGGACACAGGAAGGGGAACATCACACACCGGGGACTGTTGTGGGGTTGGGGGAGGGGGGAGGGACAGCATTAGGAGATATACCTAATGTTAAATGACGAGTTACTGGGTGCAGCACACCAGCATGGCACATGTATACATATGTAACTAACCTGCACGTTATGCACTTGTACCCTAAAACTTAAAGTATTATTAAAAATAATAATAATAATAATAATGTATGCAGTAAAACATTTCTTAACAGACATAGAAAAACGTGGAGCTTAACAATAATGTAAATAATAAATATCAACATGTGTGGCATGCATCTAAAGCAGTAGTGTTATTTAGGGATAAATATTGCTACATAGTATTCAGTAAATAAAATATAAAAAAGATAGTATTTATTTAAATATGGTAAGTGTTTAAATAAAATACGAAAAAAAGTAAACCCAAAGAAAGTAAAAGAAGAAAAATATATAGCTAAGAGCAGCTATAATACTGTGGAGAACTAATAATTATTTGAGAAGATCAGATAGAAACAGATTTGTTGACTCAAAGAAAATTCACAAATTTCTGAGCAGTTTATGCTGTTAGCACCACTTTAGAGCAGAAAAATCTGAACCTCAGAAAATGTATTAAAGCCACTTTATACATTTGTGGAAGCTGGAATAAAACCCCAACTCTAGAACATGGCCCCTTGATGCTAAGTAAACATACTTTAAAAGAAAATAAATCTACAGCAATATATAAAATAAATAAATGCAATGTATTCAAGTACTGTTGGGAGATATAAAGATGATTTAATATAAGTTTGATATTAAATAAATTAACTATTTTGATTGCAATTTTGAGAAAACTAGGATCAAAGTAACTATATTAATAAAAGAATGTAACAAGGTTCTGTACAAGTCACATATGAAATATAAGAAAAATCCTTACAAATGTGCTATATATAAAGATTATCGCTGAAGAAATAAAACACATTAAGATTCTGCATGAATATGGCTTAAAAGTATTACTGACTACTCACTCTCCTTGTATTTGGGAATCATATTTTAATTTTATTATAAATACCAAATAGTTTATATAGTAGAATGTGCTTAATTGGGTATCTTCATCAATATTATTATTATTGAATGAATAAAAATCACCAATATTTAACAAGTCTAACATTTTGAGAGGTGATATTTAGAAAGAAAAAAAATACTAAGATCCCTAAGAGTAAATTTTATCAATGATATTTTCCTTCTTTTGAAATAATTTATTCTTAAGCAAAGGTGTAGTTGGAAAAATTTCAGAGCAGCACACATAAAGGCAGAATGGCTTTTGAGTTAAGTCGCTCTGATTGGATATTCTCTGAACTTGGCAACCAAATGTACCAAAATTAATAGTTAACTTCAAATAGTAAATAGCTAAAACTTGTAAGTGTCATTTTATAAAGCAGAACCAACTTGAAATATTTTGCTGAAAAGTTAGACTGAAATTGAATACTTAACTATTTATGTACCTATTCAGTCCATTTGTAAATAGTAGGCAGATACTAACAAACAAAAATAAAGCAGATTTTTGTGGATTCCAGTGACCTGGATAAAAACTCAAACAAAACATGTGTTAGTGGGTCCAGATACTGTATAATTTGGGTGATATGTATGTCAGAATTTAGGTACAAATCATTGAAACATAAACACTAAGAAATACTGAGAAAAAATAAAATCGTTCTCTTCCTCCCTCCTTCCCTCCCTGTCTCTCTCTATCTCTGGCTCTGTCTCTCTGTATTTCCCTCTCTCTTTCTCTTTCTCTCACACACACTGAGTTACTTCAGAAATCTAAATCTATCAAGGTATTCAGTGAGCCCATTGACATATTCTCTAACATGTAACAAGTCAGATAAAACCTATATGTTAAAAGATATAAATTCAAATTCTATATCTACTCTCCAAAATGGAATGAACAGTTTTGTTCATTCAAACTTCAAGGATCTCAAACTAAAATGGAGAAGGAAAATAACACTAGTAGGCAATTTAGTTGATTGTTTCCTTGACTGGGCAGAACCTTTTTAGGTGGATATAATCCATTTGTCTATTTTTGCTCTGTTGCCTGTGCTTTAAGGGCCATATCCAAAAAAATCATTGTCCAGGCCAGTATCGTGGAGAGTTTTTCCTGTTTTTTTTTTAATTTTTAAAATTTTCTATTAGTTTTACAGTTTCATGTCTTACATTTATTATTTAATCAATTTTGATTTGTGTATATAGTGTGAGATGATAATCTAATTTAATTTTTTTGTATGTGGCTACACAGTTGTAGCAACATGGTTTCTGAAAGGTAACGTCCTTTCCCTATCGTGCATTCTTGGAAACTTTGTCAATTAACTGTAAATTCATGGAATTGTTTCTGGGCTCTCTATTCTATTCCATTGGTCTACATATCTATTGTGATGCCAGTATCATGCTGTTTTGATTAATATAGCTTTATGATATATTTTGAAGTTAGTGTGACATCTCCAGTTATGTTCTTTCTCTCAAGATTGCTTTGGTTATTCAGTCTATCATGGTTTCATATACATTTAGGATGGCTTTTACTATATCAGTAGTATTTTATTGGTGTATTCATAGGTATTGCATTGAATCTGTAGATTTGAGTAGTATAGTCATTTTAATAATACTCATTTTATAATCCATGAATGTGGGCCATATTTTCATCATTGTGTCTTCTTCCAATCTTCAATTGATGTTTTATAGTTTTCAGTGTACAGGTCTTTAACCTCTTTGGTTAAATTTATTCCTATGCATTTTACTAGTATTTTGTTTTTGATACTATTGTAAATAGAATTGTTCTCTTGATTTATTTCTCAGATAGTTCATTGTTAGTGTATTGAAAAATTACTGATGTTTATGTGTTGAGTTTGTATCCTGCAACTTTACTGAATTTATTAGTTCTAATAGTTTTTTGGTAGAGTCTTTGGGGTTTTCTATATGTAAAATTATGTCTTTTGCACACAGGGTATATTTATCTTCTTGTTTTCCAATTGGGATGTATTTTATTTTTTCTCTTACTTAATTTCTCTGACTAGGACTTCCAGAACTACATAAAATAGAGGTGACAAGAATGAACACCCTTGTCTTAGTTCTCAGCATCCCATCCATACAGTATGAATTAGCAGTATGATGTTAGCTGTGGGTTTGTCATATCAGGCCTTTATTGTGTTGAAATACATTCCTTCTATACCTAAGTTGTTGAGAGTTTTTATTATGAAGTAATGCTGAATTTTGTCAAATGATTTTTCTACATCTATTGAAATAATCATGTTGTTTTGTCCTTCACTGTGTTAATGTGATATATCAGATTTATTGGCACATGTTGAACCATCTTGACATCCCTGGAATAAATCTCAATTGATCGTGGTAAATGATTATTTTACTGTGATATTGAATTTGGTTTGCTAATATTTTGTTGAAGACTTTTTCATCTATGTTTACCAGCAATAGTTTTCTGTAATTTCCTTTTTTGTATTATTGTTGTCTGGCTCTATTAGTGTAATGCTTGCTTTGTAAATTGAATTTCGATGTATTCTCTTGTTAATGTTATTGAAAAGTTTAAGAAAGATTGGTGTAAGTTCTTTTTAAAATCTGTAGCAGAACTCAACAGTAAAGCCATCAGGTCCTGGGCTTTTCTTTGGTAGAAGAATTTTCATTACTACTTTAATTTCTTGCTAGTTATCATTCTGTTCAGGTTTTCTGTTTCCTCAAGATTTGGTCTTGGTAGGTTTTATGTGTCTAAGAATGTCTCCATTTCTTCTAAGTTATCCAGTTTATTGGTATATGTTGTTCATTCATAGTCTTCTTATGATCCTTTGTACTTCTATGATATCTATTGCAAGGCCTCCTCTTTCATTTCTGATTTTATTTATTTGAGTCTTCTTGTTTTTTCTTTTAGTATTTCTCTATGAAGATTTATCAATTTGATCTTAAAAAAAAACTTAGTTACATTTATCTTTTCTATTCTTTCTTTGTCTCTATTTTACTTATTCCTACTTTAATCTTTATTATTTTTCACTTTTGGTGGCTTAGGGCTCAGTTTGTTTTTCTGGTTCTTCGAAGTACATAATTAGGGTGTTTAAATAGGATCTCTCTTATTTTTTTATTTGGAGCCTATTAACTTACAAACTTCCCTATTTGAAAGTTGCTTTGACTGGATCCCATAAGTTTTGCTACATTACGTTTACATTACATTTTCATTTTTCTCCAGGTATTTTTGAATTTCACTTCTATTTATTTAGTTAGTTATTTTGAGACGGAGTTTTACTCTTGTTGCCCACGCTGGAGTGCAATGGCGTGATCTCGGCTCACCACAACCTCTGCCTCCCGGGTTCAAGCGATTCTCTGGCCTCAGCCTCCCGAGTAGCTGGGATTACAGGTATGGGCCACCACGCCTGGCTAATTTTGTATTTTTAGTAGAAATGGAGTTTCTCCATGTTGGTCAGGCTGCTCTTGAACTGATCTGGCAGCCTCAACCTCCCAAAGTGTTGGGATTACAGGCATGAGCCACCGCACCCGGGCGAATTTCACTTTTGTTGTTGTTATTGTTGTTATACTTTTAAGTTCTAGGGTACATGTGCAAAACGTGCAGGTTTGTTACATAGGTATACATGTGCCACGGTGGTGTGCTGCACCCATTAAGTTGTCATTTACATTAGGTATATCTCCTAATGCTATCCCTTCCCCATCCCCGACCCCAGGACAGGTCCCAGTGTGTGATGTTCCCCACACTGTGTCCAAGTGTTCTCATTGTTCAGCTCCCACTTATGAGTGAGAGCGTGCAGTGTTTGGTTTTCTGTCCTTGCAATAGTTTGCTCAGAATAATGGTTTCCAGCTTCATCCATGTCCCTGCAAAGGACATGAACTCATCCTTTTTTATGGCTGCATAGTATTCCATGGTGTATATGTGCCACATTTTCTTAATCCAGTATATCATTGATGGACATTTGGGTTGGTTCCAAGTCTTTGCTATTGTGAATAGTGGTGCCACAATAAACATACATCTGCATGAGTCTTTATAGCAGCATGATTTATAATCCTTTGGGTATATACCCAGTAATGGGATGGCTGGGTCAAATGGTGTTTCTGGTTCTAGATCCTTGAGGAATCGACACACTGTCTTCCACAATGGTTGAACTAGTTTACAGTCCCACCAACAGTGTAAAAGTGTTCCTATTTCTCCACATCCTCTCCAGCACCTGTTGTTTCCTGACATTTTAAAAATTGCCATTCTAACTGGTGTGAGATGGTATCCCATCGTAGTTTTGATTTGCATTTCTCTGATATCCAGTGATGATGAGCATTTTTTCATGTGTCTGTTGGCTGCATAAATGTCTTGTTTTGAGAAGTATCTGTTCATATCCTTTGCCCACTTTTTGATGGTGTTGTTTGATTTTTTTCTTGTAAATTTGTTTGAGTTCATTGTAGATTCTGGATATTAGCCCTTTGTCAGTTGGGTAGATTGTAAAAATTTTCTCCCATTCTGTAAGTTGCCTGTTCACTCTGGTGGTAGTTTATTTGCTGTGCAGAAGCTCTTTAGTTTAATTAGATCCCATTTGTCAATTTTGGCTTTTGTTGCCATTGCTTTTGGTGTTTTAGTTATGAAGTCCTTGCCCATGCCTGTGTCCTGAATGGTATTGCCTCGGTTTTCTTCTAGGGTTTTTATGGTTTTAGGTCTAAAATTTAAGTCTTTTAGCCATCTTGAATTAATTTTAGTATAAGGTGTAAGAAAGGGATCCAGTTTCAGCTTTCTACGTATGGCTAGCCAGTTTTCCCAGCACCATTTATTAAATAGGGAATCCTTTCCCCATTTCTTATTTTGTCAGGTTTGTCAAAGATCAGATGGTTGTAAATTTGCAGTATTATTTCTGAGGGCTCTGATCTGTTCCATTGGTCTATATTTCTGCTTTGGTACCACTACCATGTTGTTTTGGTTACTGTAGCCTTGTAGTATAGTTTGAAGTCAGGTAGCGTGATGCCTCCATATTTGTCCCTTTGGCTTAGGATTGTCTTGGCAATGTCAGCTCTTTTTTGGTTCCATATGAACTTTAAAGTAGTTTTTTCCAATTCTGTGAAGAAAGTCATTGGTAGCTTGATGGGGATGGCATTAAGTCTATAAATTACCTTGGGCAGTATGGCCATTTTCACAATATTGATGCTTCCTATCCATGAGCATGTAATGTTCTTCCGTTTGTTTATGTCCTCTTTTATTTTGTTGAGCAATGGTTTGTAGTTCTCCTTGACGAGGTCCTTCACGTCCCTTGTTAGTTGGATTCCTAAGTATTTTATTCTCTTTCAAGCAGTTGTGAATGGGAGTTCACTCATGATTTGGCTCTCTGTCTGTTATTGGTGTATACGAATGCCTGTGATTTTTGCACATTGATTTTGTATCCTGAGACTTTGCTGAAGTGGCTTATCAGCCTAAGGAGATTTGGGGCTGACATGATGGGGTTTTCTAAATATACAATTAGGTCATCTGCAAACAGGGAAAATTTGACTTCTTCTTTTCCTAATGGAATACACTTTGTTTCTTTCTCCTGCCTGATTGCCCTGGCCAGAACTTCCAACACTGTGTTGAATAGGAGTGATGAGAGACGGCATCCCTGTCTTGTGCCAGTTTTCAAAGGGAATGCTTCCAGTTTTTGCCCATTCAGTATAATATTGGCTGTGCATTTGTCATAAATAGCTCTTATTATTTTGACATATGTCCCATCAATAGCTAGTTTATTGAGAGTTTTTAGCATGAAGGGCTGTTGAACTTTGTCAAAAGCCTTTTCTGTACCTATTGAGATAATCATGTGGGTTTTGTCTTTGGTTCTGTTTGTATGATAGATTATGTTTATTGACTTGCGTATGTGGAACCAGCCCTGCATCCCAGGGTTGAAGCCCACTTGATCATGGTGGATAAGCTTTTTGAGGTGCTTCTGGATTCAGTTTGCCAGTATTTTATTGAGGGTTTTTGCATCAATGTTCATCAGGGATATTGGTCTAAAATTCTCTTTTTTTGTTGTGTCCCTGCCAGGCTTTGGTATCAGAATGATGCTGGCCTCATAAAATGAGTTAGGGAGGATTCCCTCTTTTTCTATTGATTGGAATAGTTTCATAATGAATGGTACCAGCTCCTCTTTATACCTCTGGTAGAATTCGGCTGTGAATCCATCTGGTCCTGGACTCTTTTTGGTTGGTAAGCTATTAATTATTGCCTCAATTTCAGAGCCTGTTATTGGTCTATTCACGGATTCGACTTCTTCCTGCTATGGTCTTGGGAGGGTGTATGTGTCGAGAAATTTATCCATTTCTTCTAGATTTTCTAGTTTATTTGCGTAGAGGTGTTTATAGTATTCTCTGACGATAGGTTGTATTTCTGTGGGATCAGTGGTGATATCCCCTTTATCAATTTTTATTGCGTCTATTTGATTCTTCTCTGTTTTCTTCTTTATTAGTCTTGCTAGCGGTCTATCAATTTTGTTGATGTTTTCAAAAAACTAGCTCCTGGATTCATTGATTTTTGAAGGGTTTTTTATGTCTCTATCTCCTTCAGTTCTGCTCTGATCTTAGTTATTTCTTGCCTTCTGCTAGCTTTTGAATGTGTTTGCTCTTGCTTCTCTAGTTCTTTTAATTGTGATGTTAGGGTGTCAATTTTAGATCTTTCCTGCTTTCTCTTGTGGGCACTTAGTGCTATAAATTTCCCTCTACACAGTGCTTTAAATGTGTCCCAGAAATTCTGGTATGTTGTGTCTTTGCTCTCATTGGCTTAAAAGAACATCTTTATTTCTGCCTTCATTTCATTATGTACTCAGTAGTCATTCAGGAGCAGGTTGTTCAGTTTCCATTTAATTGAGTGGTTTTGAGTGAGTTTCTTAATCCTGAGTTGTAATTTGATTACACTGTGGTCTGAGAAACAGTTTATTATAATTTCTGTTCTGTTAAATTTGCTGAGGGTGCTTTACTTGAATTTCACTTTTAATGTCTTCATTGATCCATTGGTTGCTCAGGAGGGTGTTATTTAATTTTCGTGTATTCATAAATTTTCTAAAATTTCTCCTATTACTGGTTTCTAGTTTCATACTATGTGGTCAGAAAAAATACATGATATTATTTTAATCTTCCAAAACTCATTAAGACTCCTTTTGTGGCTCAACACATGATCTATCATAGAGGATGTTCCATGTGTACTGGAGAAGAATGTGTTTTCCACTAATGGTGGGTAAAATGTTCAGTGTATGTCTGTTCGCTCCATTTGTTCCAAAGTGCAGTATAAGTCTCATATGTTCTTAGTGATTTTCTGCCTTGATGATCTTTCCATTGCAGATAGTAGGGTATTGACTTACCCTGTTATTATAATATTACAGTGCATCCCTAACTTCAGTTCTACTATTATTTGCATTATATAATTACTGCTCTGATATTGCATGCATATAGATTGGCAATTGTTACACATTTTTGATGAATTAACTCCTTTATCATTGCATAATAACCTTATTTTTCTTGTTTCACAGTTTTTGACATAAAGTCAATTTCATGATATAAGTAGAGCTACTCCTTCTCTTTGGTTTTCATTGGGATGGAATATTTTGTTTTTCATTTCTTCACTTTCAGGCTACTTGTGTCCCTACAGATGAAGTGACTCTTTTGTATGCAGTATATATTTGGGTCTTGTTTTTACAAGAGTAGAAAGACAACTTACAGCATAGAAGGACATATTTGCACATAATATCTAAAATATGTAAGAAACTCCAATAACAAAATAGTAAGAACAAATAACCTGATTAAAAATAGGCAAACAAATTTTAATAGACACTTCTCAAAAGATGACATACAAATTGCCAACAAGTATTTATTTTAAAAAGCTCAAAATCATTAATCAGATAAATGAAAATTAAAACCACAGTGAGATATTATTTCACCCCAGTTAGAGTAGCTGTTATCAAAAAGGGAAAAGGAAACAAATTTTGGAAAGAATGTGGAGAAAAGGGAACTCTTGTATACTGAGTGTAAATTAGTAATAACTATTATGAAAAACAGTATGAAGTTTCCTCAAAAATTAAAAATAGAACTCTGATATGATCTAGCTACTATTGGGTATATTGCCAAATAAAATAAAATTAATATGTCAAGAATATATCTGTACTCTCATATTCATTGCAGCTTTATTCACAATAGCCAACATATAGGATTAACCCGTGTTCATCAGTGAACGAATAGACAATGAAAATCTGGTATATTTGCATAATGGAGTACTATTCAGTCTTAAAAATGAATGAAATCCTGTCATTTGCAACAACGTGGATGAACCTGAGGGACATGATGATAAGTGAAGTAAACCATGCACAGAAAGACAAATACTGCATCTTTTCACATACTTGTGGAATCTAAAAGTTTGAAGTCCTAGAAAGAAAGGATAAAGTTGTGAGGCCAGTGTGTGGGATGGGTTGGTGAGTTATTTGGCAAAGAATGCAAAATTACAAAGGGATATGAGCAATAAACATGAGACATCTCATGTAAAACATAGTGACTATAGTTAATAATAATGTATTCTTGAAAATTGCTAAGAGAGTAAATATTAAGTGTCCTCACCACAAAAACAAAGATAAATATGTGAGGTGATGCATATGTTAATTAGCTAAATTTAATCATTCCACACCATATATATATTTCAAAACAACATATACATAATAAATATAAACAGTTTTTAATTTTCAATTGAAAAATAAATTCAACACAATTTTTAAAACTTTGTTGCCACTCAAAAAAGACAATTTAAAACTGTTTTTTAACAATGTCATATCAAGAAATTTAGATTACTTAGATGATTTAAGCAAATAATGTATGAGTTAATATTAGTGTTAGCAAATTATTTGTAAATTATCTTAAAATTTTCCTCAGAGAGATTGTCCCTTCTCTTCATATTTACTTTTATTTTGACTTTTGCATTTTCTACACTTTGTCATGAGTGCACATTTGTTAGAGATTTGCTTAAATGTTTTGTTTTAAATTTTGATGGAGAATTCAATATAAAATGTAAAATTATAATCCAAATATAAATTGGTTTTGCTATACCATAATATTATGGTAAATTCTAGTCATTAAGAAGGCTATAAAAATAGAATTACCCACCTTTTGTGTCCTGGTGTGAAGTTCCATATTTAACTATTGTTAAGGAAAAAACAAATTTAATTTCTTTTTATTATTTGCTATCATACAACTATAAGCATTGTATAATTATACAAATGACTAAATAAATCTATGATACTAATTCAAGCATATAATAATAGATACAGTAAATAATATTAAATAAAATTAAGTTTAAAATTATTAAGGAAAATTATAAAATTAAGTCAGAATAGCTTTATAATATTAATTACAAAGAAACAGTGCCAATTCAATAAAAGAATATTTCATGAGTTTTTATTTAGAAAGGTAGGTTAACACAAAACTAAAAAGACTAAAAAGCTTTAAGTGCATACAATGATAAATCAACAAAAGATAAAAGATAATATTCTTCTGTAAAGATAAGAATTAAAATGCATTCAGTCAAAAATAAGACTTTATTCTTTTGTGCTAAGAAGTAAACTGGCCTATTAATGATATGATCTAAAAGAAGATAGAGCCATATAGGAACTAATGACTCTATATGTAATATTGTTTCTCTCTCACCTGTCAGAATTTCTGAAACTCTTTCAGTATAAGACCAATATAATGTGTCGTTAGGACAATTGTTCATTTTTATTATCTACTCTATACTTTTTTCTTTTCTAAACCTAATATCTTAGCATAAATTGTTTCACTTTTTGAATAAATAGGGATAGCAAAGTGCTACAGTTTGAATGCTTCCACCAAAACTCATGTTAAGTTGAATGGCCATTGTGATGGTATTAAGAAGTGAGATCATTAAGAGGCAATTAGTCCATGACACCTTTGCCATCATGAATGGGTTCATGTAGTCAGAAGTGAGTTAGTTATTACAAAAGTGGGTTTTTATAAAAGTGAGTTCAGTCTTTTGTATTTCCACCTTCAACTATTGGATAACTGAACATGAAGGCTCTGGCAAGATGCCAGCACCTTGATATTAGGCTTCCCAACCTCCAGAACTGTGATAAATAAGATTCTTTTCTTTATAAAATACCCCAGTCTGTGATAGCCACACAAAACAGACTACTATAGCAACACACAAAAAAACTAAGATACAAATACATGTCATGTGTGTTCTTTTATTCCTCCCTACCCATGTGAACAGTCCTAATTAGATTGACTTTAGCAATCTTTTATAATATATCTGATGATTGTCTCAGAAGTCTCAATATAAAACTCCAGACAATCAGCCCATACTTGTTGATTGACAAGGCCACATGGGCAATTAACATAAACTGTTTCATGTCACTACTCATCAATTTGGGTAACATATCTGTCTCTCTATCTATATTGTAAGCTTTAAGTGTCACATTCATATTGTATCTTTGTAACCCAAGGTTTCCCTTTGACTAAGTAGGTGATACAAATTTAAGTTTGATAATAGTTATCAAAGGAATGACTAGGGCCCAACAGCAATCATGTTTTTCTCATATTTTATCTCATGTTGTATTCACTATTACTAGCCATCAAATATTTCTGATTATCCTCAGAACACTTAAATTGACTGTACATTCCCATTTCTTTGAGGTTAGCTTTAGACAAGGTTTGCCATAGACAGTGGTTTTTAAACATTATTGAGCATCAAAATCTACTAAAGAGCTAGTTAAAACATAGATTACTAGGCCCGTACCCCAGAGTTACTGATTTAGTAATTCTGGAGCTAGGGACAGAAACTTTTTACATTTCCAACAAGTTCCTAGGCAATTCTGATGTTACTGGTCCACGGAAAATACTTTTAGAACCCAGTTTTATAAAATGTAAGTGAAAAGGAAGGAATTTTTAGAGTCAGTTAGTGACTTGCAAATTCCATCTTTTAAAATTTTTATTCTATTTCTTTCTAGCATGGCAACATCCACATGGAGACCTTGCTATTATTCTGGATTACAGACTAAGGAGATATAAAGGATAGCCTATGTTGTAGGATATACACGGTACACAAATGACATGAATAATAAGTAAATCATCTTGCTTCAAATAACTAACATTTTTGAGTTATTGGTTTCCATAGCATGCACGACCTAACCCAATCTTACAAATAATTATGCTTCACAATTATTTAAACATCAGTAAGTTACATAAAATAAATGTCTGACGATAAGCAGGAGAAAGTCATTTTTATGTCTTCTTCTTTTCCTTGATTAAGTGTCCTAGATTAAGTTACTTCATACACCAATTTAAAAGTATATAAGAGTTTGTAGGTAATTATGTACATTAAAATGAAGCATACCTTTTTACCGATCAAGTTAAATAAAAGGTACTTTATTAGTATTTTGTAAAATCTGATTTTTAATAACTAAAAAAGTTTGTCAATTAGTTGTTTGCACTGGTTAGAATAATAATTCCTTAACAGAAAAACAACAATGCCAATCACACTATATCAAACACAAGCTTACAATAGCTAAGAAATAAATAGATTTTATTTTTAAAATTGTGAATTTTAATAGATAAGTGAAATTTGATATTGATATTAGAAGAGGTTATTCCATGTTTTCTCAAAGTCAGGATGCAGGAGGTAGAGAGAATATTTCCTAAATAAAACATATGCCCTCAAAATGGCAGTACTTTTAAATAACTCCAATGTACAGATTATTTTTTCTATCGAGCCTCAGTTTTTTTTACATTAGAAATGTAAATTGAAGAATCCTTCATATCTCATACTGGCAACATTTGAGCAACTACACAGAAAACAACCTTTAAACCAATTTCATTTGACATGTCTTGGAAAATCATATTACACATGTGAATCAGATTTATGTGTCTAAATATCCTCCATTTTCCTAAGATTATATCAGCACTATGAGATAATCCAATTTAAAAAAGATTAAAGTACAAAGACTTACAAATTGAAAAGATAAGACAAATTTTTATTGTTAGCTTTATCTGATTAAAGTACAATAACAAACTGCATGTCAAATGCTGTTGAAGGATGGAGAATACTTTGTTTTTCCTCTCAGCAATGAATTCAACTACATTATATTTATTAAATCACTGCTTAAGATAATTTCTTTATATAGAAATTATTTGGCAATTTTAAGAATAAAATGTGATATTAAAATAATATTGCTTAAGTGGTATAATGTTTTGCCATACTATGTAAATGATATGATATGTACATGTGATATAATACACATCACTTATGCAATAATTTTATCAGGATAAAAAAGCCACAACAGTTAAAAAAGACAAAGAGGGACATTATATACATTATATAATGATACAAGGACTGGTTCAACAGGAGAGTATCACAATCCTAAATATATTCACCTAAAACTGGAGCTCCCAAATTCATTTATTTATTCATTGATTTCTTTCTCTTTTTTTTAAATTGAGACAAGGTCTCTCTGTGTTGTCCAGTTTGGTCTTAAACTCCTGGGCTCAAGTCATCCTTCTGCCTTAGCCCCTCAAAGTGTTGGGATTACAGATGTCAGCCACCACACCCATCCTGGAGCTCCGAAATTTATAAAACAATTACCACTAGACCTAAGATATGGGATAGACAGCAACACAGTAATAGTGGGGAATTTCAATACTCCTCTGACAGCACTAGACAGGTCATTGAGACAGAAAGTCAGCAACTACACCCTAGAACAAATGGACTTAACAGATGTTTACAGAACATTCTACCCAACAACTGCAGAATATACATTCTGTTCATCAACAAATGGAACATTCTCCAGCATAGATGATATGATAGGCCACAAAACAAGCCTCAATACATTTAAGAAAATTGAAATTATATCAAGTATTCTCTCAGACCACAGTGGAATTAAACTGGAAATCAACACCAAAAAAAAAAAAAATACCCTCGAAACCATGCAAATACTTGAAAATTAGATAATCTTCTCTTGAAAGATTGTTGGGTCAATAATGAAATCAAGATGAAAATTAAAAATTCTTTGAACTAAATGATAATAGTGACACAACCTATCAAAACCTCTTACAGCAAAAGCAGTGCTAAGAGGAAAGTTTATAGCATTAAGTGTCTACATCAAAAAGTCTAAAAGAGCACAAATAGATAATCTAAGGTCACACCTCAAGTAACTATAGAAACAAGATAAAACCAAACCCAAATCCAGTAGCAGAAAAGAAATATCAAAGATCAGAGCAGAACTAAATGAAATTAAAACAAACAAAAACAATACAAAAAATAAATGAAACAAAAAGCTGGTTCTTGGAAAAGATAAACCAAATTAATAGACCATTAGTGAGATTAACTAAGAAAAGAAGAGAAAAATCCAAATAAGCTCAATTCGAAATGAAATGGGAGATATTACTACCAATACCACAGAACTACAATGTATCATTCAAAGCTACTGTGAACACTTTGATGTGCACACACTGGATAACCTAGAGGAGATAGATAAATTCCTGTAAATTTACCACCCTCCTAGATTAAACCAGGAAGAAATAGAAACTCTTAACACACCAATAACAAGCAGAGAGATTGAAATGGCAATAACAAAATTGCCAAAAAAAGAAGTTCAGAACCAGATGTATTCACGGCTGAATCTATCAGACATTCAAAGAAAAATTGGTACCAATCCTACTGAAACTATTCCAAAAGACAGGGAAAGAGGGAATTCTCCCCAAATCATTGTATAAAGCTAGTGTCACCCTAATTCAAAATCAAGAAAGGCCATAACCAAAAAAGAAATCTACAGACCAAAATCTTTGATGAACGTAGATGCAAAACACCTCAACAAAATACTAGGTGAATTCAACAGCTTATTAAAAAGATAATTCACCATGATAAAGTGGGTTTCATACCAGGAATGCAGAGATGGCTTAACATATGCAAGTCAATAAATGTAATACATCACATAAACAATATTAAAAACAAAAAATGTATAATCAGCTCAATGGACACAGAAAAAGCATTTTACAACATCCAGCATTCCTTTATGATTAAAACTCTCAGCAAAATCAGCATAGAAGGGTCACACCCTAAGGTAATAAAAGCCATTTATGACAAACCCACAACCAACAGTTTACTGAACAACAAAAAAAAATTGAAAGCATTCCCCCAGAGAACTGGAACAAGAATATAATGCCCACTTTCACCACTTCTATTCAACATAGTACTGGAACTCCTATCCAGATCAATAAGACAAGAGAAAGAAATCAAGGGTTTCCAAACTGATAAAGAGGAAGTCATTCTGTTGTTGTTCACTGATGATATGATTGTATAGCTAGAAAACCCTAAAGACTCATCTTAAAAAAAAAAAAAAGCTCTGATAAATAAATTCAGTAAAGTTTCAGGATACAAAAATCAATGTATCTAAATAAGTAGCACCACTATACACCAAGAGTAACCAAGCTGAGGATCAAATCAAGAACTCAATTCCTTTTACAATAGTTTCAAAAACAAAATACTTAAGTATCTTAGGAAAATACCTATACAAGGAGGTGAAAGACCTCTACAAGGAAAACTACAAAACATTGCTGAAAGATATCAAAGATGACACAAATAGATAGAAACACATTCCAAGCTCATGGATGGGTAGAATCAATATTGTAAAAATAATCATACTGCAAAAAGCAATTCTACAAATTTGATGCAATTCCCATCAAATACTCTCATTGTTCTTCACAGAATTATAAAAAAAAAAATCCTGAAGTTGATATGGAACCAAAAAAGAGCCTGCATAGCCAAGGAAAGACAAAGCAAAAACAAACAAAAAACACAAATCTGGAGGCATCACATTACCTGACAACTATACTACAAGGCCATAGTCATCAAAACAGCATGGTACTGATATAAAAATAGGCACATAGACCAATGTAACAGAATAGAGAACTGAGAAATAAAGCTAAATCTAGTCAACTGATCTTTGACAAAGCAAACACAAACATAAAGTGGGTAAAGGACACCCTATTTAGCAAATAGTGCTGGGATCATCATCAAGCAACATATTAAAGAATAAACCTGGATTCTCATCTCTCATCTTATACAAAAATCAACTCAAGAGGACCAAAAACTGAAATATAAGACCTGAAACCATAAAAATTCTAGAGGATAAAACTGGAAAAACTCTTTTAGTCATTGGCTTAGATAAAGAGTTAATGACCAAGAACCCAATAGCAAATGCAACAAAAAACAAAGATAAATAGATGGGACTTAATTAACTAAAAAGCTTCATGCTGCAAAAGAAATAATCAGCAGAGTAAACAGACAACCTACAGAGTGGGAGAAAATTTTCATGAACTATGCACCCAACAAAGGACTAATATGTGAAATCTACTCCAGGAACTCAAACAAATCAACAAGGAAAAAGAAATTCCATCAAAACATGGGCTAAGGACATAAATAGACAATTCTCAAAAGGAGATATACAAATAGCCAATAAACATATGAAGAAATGCTCAACATCACTAGTTATCAGGGAAATGCATATCAAAACCACTATGCGATACCACCTTACTCCTGCAAGAATGGCCAAATTAAAAAATCAAAGCATGATAGATGTTGGTGTGGATGTGGTGAAAAGGGAACACATTTACACTGCTGCTGGGAATATAAACTAGTACAACCCATATGGAAAACAATATGAGGATTCCTTAAAGAACCAAAAGTAGATTTACCATGTGATTCTGCAACCCCACCACTGGGTATCTACCCAGAAAAAATGAAGTCATTATATGAAAAAGACACTTGCACACACGTTTATAGCTGCACAATTCACAATTGCAAAAATATGGAAGCAGCCCAAATGCCCATCAATCAATGAGTGGATAAAGAAAATGTGATTATATATGTGTATATATATATGTGTGTGTGTGTGTGTGTGTATATATACATATGTGTATATATATGATATAAAAATTCCTATATATATATATGCACACACATATATATATACACACACACACCATAGAATACTACTCAGCCATAAAAAGGAATGAAATAATGTATATACATATATATACACACACATATACATATACACAAACATATACACACACACACACACACTATGGAATACTACTCAGCTGTAAAAAAGAATGAAATAATGAATCTATCTATAGAAAGTGAGAGAGAGAGAGAGAGAAACACATACACACACACACACACACACAAACATGGAATACTACTCAGCCATAAAATGGAATGAAAGAATGTATATACATATATATACACCCACATATACATACACATACACACACACACAACATGGAATACTACTCAGCCATAAAAAGGAATGAAAGAATGTATATACATATATATATACACACACATATACATATACACACATATACATATATACACACACACACACAATGGAATACTACTCAGCCATAAAAAGGAATGAAAGAATGAATCTATCTATCTATCTATCTATCTATCTATCTATCTATCTATCTATAGAGAGAGAGAGAGCGAGAAACGCACATCCACACACACACACACACACAAACACACACACCATAGAATACTACTCAGTCACAGGAAAGAATGAAATAATGTCATTCACGGCAATCTGGATGGAGTTGGCAACCATTATTCTAAGTGAATTAATTCAGGAATGGAAAACCAAACATTGTATGTTCTCACTTATAAGTGGGAGTTAAGCTATGAGGATGCAAAGGCATAAGAATGATACAATGGACTTTGGGGATTCAGAGGGAAAGGCGGGAGGGGGTGAGGGATAAAAGACTACACATTGGGCACGGTTATACTGCTTGGGTGATGGGTGCAACAACATGTCAAAAATTGCCACTAAAGAACCTATCCATGTAAACAAACACCACCTGTTCCCCAAAAATTACTGGAATGAAAATCAATACAATAAAAACCATACAAAGAAGAGAAACCTGAGCTAGCATGCTCAGCCCTCTTACCATATGATACCCTGCGCAGCCCTGGGATTCATCACTGTCCCCACCGGCAGGAAAGATCCCACCAGATGTGGCCCTATGACCTTGGACATCTTGGCCTCCATAACTCCAGGAGTATTTCTGATCCCAGTGGAGACCTCTCCATTTCTTGTTGGCATTTCCCATATGTTCTCAGGGTAGCTAAGAGCCTTTGGAAGCCTGTTACCATCAGGAAATTGAAAACTCCAGAGTGGATTCATTACAGTAGGAGTCGAAGACTGGATGAAGAGTCTAGCAAACACCTTGTACAGTTCCTAAAACAAGTGTGGTGGCTCACAGCTGTAACCCTAAGACTTTGGGAGGCCAAGGTGTGAGGATTGATTGAGGCCAGGAGTCCAAGACCAGCCTGGGCAACATATTAAGAACTGTCTCACCAACGTTGGTGGGACTATAAACTAGTTCAACCATTGTGGAAGTCAGTGTGGCAATTCCTCAGGGATCTAGAACTAGAAATACCATTTGGCCCAGCAATCCCATTATTGGGTATATACCCAAAGGATTATAAATCATGCTGCTATAAAGACACATGCACACGTATGTTTATTGAGGCACTATTCACAATAGCAAAGACTTGGAACCAAGCCAAATGTCCAACAATGATAGACTGGATTAAGAAAATGTGGCACATATACACCATGGAATACTATGCAGCCATAAAAAAGGATGTGTTCATGTCCTTTGTAGGGACATGGATGAAGCTGGAAACCATCATTCTCAACAAACTATCGCAAGGACAAAAAACCAAATACCGCATGTTCTCACTCATAGGTGGGAATTGAACAATGAGAACACATGGACACAGGAGGGGGAACATCACACACTGGGGGGCCTGTTGTGGGGTGGGGGAGGTGGGAGGGACAGCATTAGGAGATATACCTAATGTAAATGACGAGTTGATGGGTGCAGCACACCAACATGGCACATGTATACATATGTAATTAACCTACACGTTGTGCACATGTACCCTAAAACTTAAAGTATAATAATAATAAAAAAAGAACTGTCTCTACAAAGTATAAAAATAAACTTTCATTAAAAGAAAAAAACTCTGTTACATAGTATGAACTATGTGATATAATATGTATCCTTTATCAAAAAATTTTATTAGGATAAAAAGCTATCCTTGAAATCAGGTACAACTTTCAAACAACTAAGAAGGATTTAAGTCACTTTGAAAATCTTAGAGTCTCCTAGGGGCTTTGTTGCCCACCACTTAAATTTGGAGAAAGGGAAAGCATCCAACTTAACCAATTTTGAAACATTTTGGTTTTTTTCTTCACAATTTAGAGGCTGACAAAACACTTATGAGACTGTACATGTCATTTTTCATTGCAGACTTTCCATAAATCAATGAATTATTTTGTGTAAAGGACTATCCTAAAATTTAAAGAACAATTAATTTTAAAACTCTGAGTACAGTCTATGTATTACTCACAAACCTCACACAAGACTATATGAATATAATTTGTGTGTGTACATCAGGAATTTTATGAATATCCTTGTCATAAAAAAATCCATATTACCACAATCTCTTTAGTAATGGAAGATGTAGGAAAACTGGGCACACATCCCAAAAGAAACTAAACAGCTAGAAAAAATGCAAGAACTGCTTTTCCAACATTTTATCTTTTATCCCAGAGATATGTAGATCAACACTATAGATGACCTCAATACATCTGTAAGCTGAGTACTGTAATTTGAAGTCTCCTAATCAAAACTCACATATATTTTGAGAAAGTGAGCATTTTTTTTTCATGGTAGTCTATACATTGTAGTTTGGAACTATTCTTCTTAATTGTTTAAAATGCTAAGTCATAACTGGTATGGAGAACAAGTTGCACATCAATTTTCTCTTTCCTAACTTGATTATTTGAACAATAATAAACATTTGAATTTAACAATTCCATTTTCTAACATTTAATTTTTCCAACCATTTGAAACCTGGTACTCCTACTCTATGGAACTTAAAGATAAAATAAAATTATTATTTCTACAGAGACATCTAATAAACACTTTTATAATTAACACTGGATAAATTATTCTGAATTTGGCAATAGCTTTAATCCTACAGCAAAGCATTAATAACTGGAGAGCTTTCAGTATATTGCAATTCATTAAAGTGATCAACCACAGGTAGCAGGTAACAACAACCATACTACCGAGGTGTGCAAACTGAGATTAGGTTAGTTAAATAATTACACATTGAATTAAATAAATAACTTTCTAAATGATAAAATATTTTCTTATTTAATCTGGGCCTGTACACAAGCTTTATAAATAACTTTCAGAATTTTAGTACATTATATACTATGTTTTAAAAAACTATTTTATTCATTTTGGTCTTAGCTTGGTTTTATAATTATACTTCTGATTAGGGGAATATTTTAACTTAACATCATGGCTTTTATGTGTATAACTTTTCCTTTTTAAATTATTTTCTTCATTAAATGGTAAATCTCATCTGATTTGCAAAATACACATATTTACTGAGTTCTGAGAGCATGCTACTTACAAACAACTTATACGTGTAAACATATATTTTTTGAGAACTGCAAAATCAGAATATGGTAAATTCTAATACAATAATATGTTAATTTCCTCCTAGTTATAGTTTTAGAATTATAAATTACATTTGATACTCCTCTATAAAACTATTAACCATATTCTCCTTGGACCACACCAGTTTTTTAAGTTTTAGATCATTTGGTATTAGTTTAAATATTACTTTGTGACCTTGTCTAGGCCTCGTGATGCTATTTTATGAAGTATGTCTAGGAAATATTTTCAGTGTACTAAGTGGAACATTTAAATCATTGGCAGACTTGTTTGATTTTTCAGTATCCTGAAGGCAGTCAATGAATCTCACCCTATTATCTTACTTTGCCTACTTTTAGTTCTTAATTATCTATATTTTTATTTGAATTTTTTCACTCAATTGCATTATTTCATACATCACTCAGTACACCTGTACTCATTATCTTAGATTTAATATGACAATTGAAAGCAAATGGTATTGACAGATCCTTCTTAAATATAATTACTCAACAAGAACTGTCCTTGATCAATTAATCACAGTGTATCTCAAATTTAATATTCTGATGCCACAGGAAAATAACCATTACGTTTTTACAGAAGAGGTGCATCAACATTTGTTGACAGTTTGTAGGTGGTTTTGCTCAGTTACATAGATAAGCGTTATATTGTTTTATAATTAGTAATATACTGAGAAAGTTGTATAAATGCTAAATGTATAAATAGATATAAAAACATTAATATCTCACTTAAGTTATGTACTGCTCACGATTTATTTTGCCTTTCAATAATACTGCAGAAAACCTGAATTTTTCTTATAAAGTATCACACCTGAAATATTGGAGCCTTCTAAAATAAAACTATGAATTTTACTACAAAATTATTACAAATAGTCCTTCATATGTGAGTATATCAAAGCAACACATACAATTTTATTGCAAACACCTATTTGATCATATTATGTAAGAATTAATGTCAATTTAGTAAGAGCAATACGCAAATCTAACATTTTTCTTTCTTCCATACAAGAACAGATAAAAAACATCAAATTGCTAAAATAATCAGATTTCTATATAATTCTAAAAATCATACTAAATAAACATTTATATTTGATCTACACTAGTCAAATGGCAAAATATTGTGGATTTTTTTACATTAATTTTTTATGCACATAAACTAGATAATAATTATTTAAGCTTAACTTTTTTAAACAGTTCTGAAAGTATTGTACCACCAAATAAAATGACACTATCTTTTGCACAACAGCAAAATAAATATACAAAACATGATGAAAATGAAAACATACTTTTGCTGAGAAATAAAGGATGTTATTTTAATTTGATAAAAATAAATGAAAAACAAAGGCTTGCTTGGTTCTAAATTAGAGTCCAGTGAGGACTATTGTTATACTTTTATGCATATCACCCATGTAGTCATAAAAATGAAAATGTTAACTACTTTTTGGTGACTATCATGATCTATCATGGTTTCAAATCAGATTATTTCTGTGACTTTCAAATCAGGTTATATCTGTAACGAAAAAAATCAGACACGCATGTATATAAACACATGGCTAAAACATTTTTAAGAATTGGTCATAAATTTTTTACTGAATTTCTTCTAACAACCAAATTCATAGCACCCCAAATTAGCTACAAAGTAACAATAGGAGGAGCAGAGGCTGGGACTAACATTATTTCTATCTGTCATAATTTTTAGTAGATGTTTGAGAATCATAAATCTAGAGAAATTTATGAAGAGTTATTTATGTTGATCTAACTTGTTAGCAATTAGATTCAAAGTATTTAATTTTAAATTGGAAAATAGAAAATTTTATGTAACTGATATGGCTTGGATCTGTGTCCCCGCCCAAATGTCATGTTGAAATGTAATTTCTAATGCCGGAGGTGGGACCTAGTGGGAGTGATTGGATCATGAGGGAGAATTTTTACCTGGGTATTGTAGTGTGATAGTGAATGAGTTATCGTAAGACCTGGTTGTTAAAAAGTGTGTAGTACCTCCCTGCCCCTTCCTCCTGCTACTGCCATGTAAGGCATGACTACTTCCCCTTCGATTTCCACCATAATTGTAAGTTTCCTGAGGCCTCCCAGAAGCCAAGCAGATGACCAGCATCGTGATTCCTATACAGTCTGAGGAACCATGAGCCAATTAAACCTCTTTTCTTTAAAAATTACCTAGTGTAAGGTATTTTGTTTATAGCAATATGAGAAGACTAAAACAGTTACCTTTCATCAAATCAGGAATTTCGGTTTGGTCTCCCTATCTAGAATAAAATGATTTTGTTTGTTTGTTTGTTTGTTTGTTTTTATCTTAATAAAAATATATGTTAAATTAAAATGCTCCCAATAATTTGAATATGAATTAATTCCTTCAATAATTTTTATGAATTATTTTAAGCACATTTTATATTTAAAATTATTGTGCAAAATATACCCTTAAATTAGCTATTTCTTTATACTGTATTTAGTGTTGTGTACTCTATGTGTTACATACTTACTATATGATGAGAAGTGTGTTAATTACTTTTAATAGATAATTTCCTATAATGCCTGCAATAACCCCATGAGATAGATTTATTTATTTATTTATTTTTTGAGATGGAGTCTCACTCTGTCACCCAGGCTGGAGTGCAGCGGCACAATCTCGGCTCACTGCAACCTGTGCCTCCCGGGTTCAAGCGATTCTCCTGCCTCAGCCTCCTGAGTAGCTGGGATTACAGGCCTGCACCATCACGCCCGGCTAATTTTTGTATTTTTAGTAGAGATGGGATTTCACCATGTTAGTCAGGCTGGTCTCTGACTCCTGACCTCGTGATCCGCCCGTCTCGACCTCCCAAAATGCTGGGATTACAGGCGTGAGCCACCGCACTCAGCTGATACAGATATTTTTACCCTCAGTTCGCATCTTGAGAGGCTGAGCTTTCAACAGTTTGTGGCTTGCCCCAAATCACACAGCTATTAAAAAGTGTCATAAGCAAGATTCGATCACTTGTTTCTCAGTGCTAAAGTACGTCATTTTTATCTTTATGGAAGGCACGGCCAAGATTCTTGAGAAAATAGTTTACATTTGCTGTCTCTACTTCCTTACTTTCTACTTTTTCCTGTTATTTGAATTCGGTGTCTATTTCCACCACCTGTGGCAAATGTTTGTATTGCTACACACAACCAGTTTGACAAATGGCCTCCATTGTTAAACTCTTGACTCATACACAAACTCTTCACCCTTAAGTTTGACTTAGCTGGCTGTCCTCAAGAATACACTTTTTTTTTTTTTTGGATTTAGTTTTCTGTCCATTTATCCAAATACCTATAGCAAAATATGACAAAAATATAAGATGTCCAGTAAAAATTAAAAGAAATATTTTCCAACTTTGTAATGTGACTAATTTAATTTCATACAAATTAGAGTTTCGTGGAATTGATACAAATGCAAATGAGCAACCCGTAGTCCTAGAGCCTAATTTGGTTAGACACATCAAGAATGAATTATTTAACAAAGGGAAAAATAACCTTTTATCTTGAGCCTCAGTTTCTCCACAAAAGCAATATCTAAAGAAGCTTTCAACATTATACCATGTGTAGAGTGGTAAGCAAACACATACATACATACATATATACATACACAAGTAATCCAAAGTATGATGATATTTTTGACTCCATCATGGGGTCCTAAATTTGAGAAATTAGACAGCATATGTGATTATATAATTTTAGGACTAAATTATCAGCTACATATTTTTATCACTTAAAATATATTAAAAATATAATCTGGTGGAAATAAATACCATTTGTCCTGAAAATACTGTTTAGATTTTTTCATTTTCTACGTTAACAATAATTTCACCTGTCTTCACAGCCCTCATCTATAAAATGGAAATTGAACCATAAATACATGCCTTTTCAATGCGTTTCATCAATATTTTACAGTTTTCACTGCATTTTATGTTATTTATAGTTATTGTAAATTGGATTGTTTTCCTGATTTCTTTTTCAGATTGTTCACTTTTGGTTTATAGAAATGCTATTGATTTTTGTGTGTTGATTTTGCATTCTGCAAATTTACTGATTTTTTAAATCAGTTCTAATAGTTATTTTGGTTGACTCTTTAGGGTTTTCTAAACATAAGATCGTACCTTCTGTAAACAAGAATAAGTTGAGTTCTTCCTTTCCATTTTTTGTCTCATTGCTCAAAAAAAAACAAAAAACAAAAAAAAATGAAAGGTATTCCACATTCATGGTTTGGAAGAGTCAGTACTGTTAAAATGTTCATACTACCCAAAGCAATCTACAGATTTAATGTGATCCCTATCAAAATACCAGTGAAGTTCTTCACATAAATTTAAAAAAAAAGATCCTTAAATTTATATGGAACCACAAACAATCCAGAAGAGCCAAAGAATTCCTGAGCAAAAAGAATAAAACTGGAGGCATCATATTGCCTGACTTCAAATTATACTGCAAAACTTTAGTAACCAAACCAGCAAGGTATTTGCAGAAAAAACAGACACTTAGACCAATGCAACAGAATAGAGAACCAAGAAATAAATCCACATGTTTACAGTCAGCTCACTTTCAACAAAGGTGTCAAGAACATACATTGGAGAAAAGACAGTCTCTGTAATAAATGGTGCTGGAATATCCATATGCAAAAGATGAAACTAGAACTGTATCTCTCACCATGCACAAATCAAATCAAAATTGATTAGATACTTATATCTCAAAACTATGAAACTAGCAGAAGGAAACATTAGAGAAACACTTCAGAACATTGGTCTGGGCAAGGATTTCATGAGTTAGACCTCCAGAGCACAGGGAACAAAAGCAAAAATGGACACAGAATCACATCAAATGAAAAAGCTTCTGTGCGGCAAAGGACACAACCAACAAAGTGAAGAAAGAACCCACAAACTGGGAGAAAATATTTGCAACCCATTTGACAGGGTGTTAATAACCATAACATATAAGCTCAAACAACTCAATAGAAAAATGAAAGATTCCAGTTAAAAAGCAGGCAATCCGAATAGATAGTTCTGAAAAGAAGACATACAAATGGCCAAAGAGTACCTAAAAAAATGCTCAGCACAATTAATCGTTAAATAAGTGCAAATTAAAACTACAATCAGATATTATTTCATTTCAATTAAAATGGCTTAAAAAAACAGGCAATAACGAATGCTGATATAGATTTTGAGAAAAGAAAACCCTTGTACGCTGTTGGTAGAAATGTCAATTGGTAAAACCACTATGGAGAACGAATATGGAGGTGACCCAAAAAATTAAAATTGGACTACTATATGATCCACAATCTTGCTGCTGTGTATATAACCCAAAGAAAGGGAAATCAGTATATTGAAGAGTTATGTGCACTCCTGTGCAGCACTATTTACAGTACGCAGGATGTGAACTCAACCTAAGTGTCCATGGAGGCATAAAGGGATAAAGAAAATGTGATTCCAATACAAAATGCAAGATTCAGCCATAAAAAAATTAAATCCTGTCATTTATAAAAGCATGAATGAAACTGGAGGACATTGTGTTAAGTAAAATAAGCCAAGCACAGAATGACAAATACTGCATTTTTCTCACTAATATGTGGCAGCTCACAAAACAAAATTGGACTCATGAAGATACAGAGTAGAATGATGGTTACCTGAGGCTGGGAAACAGTGAAGCAGGGGATAAAGTTAAGATCGTTAATGGGTATAAAACTACAGTTAGATAGAAGGAATAAAATCTAGTGTTTTGGTTGCATAATAGGATGACTGTATCCACAATAGGATGACAATATAATGTATTGCGTACTTCAAAATAAAAAAAAAGAATGTAATTGGAATTTTCCTAATGCAAACAAATTGTACATGCTTGAAGTGATAGATACCCCAATTACACTGATTTGATCATTATACGTTGCATGCTTGTGTCAAAATATCACATGTACTCCATAAATTTGTACAACTATTACATATTCATAATCAAAAAGTTAAAATAAAAAATAGGTGCATGTCTTTTGGCTTATGCTTTCCACTAAAAATTATTTGAGAAAGCATATATTCTCTCATATTTTTTCACTTTATTTCCTACAGTTTTTATATTAATTTAAATGTAAACAGTCATTTCAACATGTTTTAAATATAAATGTTTTAAAATACTATTACATTACACTGTTAATACAACACTTTGAAACCTATAAGTAAACATTTTGAAATACATCAAAAAGCTCATCTCCAAGAGAAATTTTGGTTTATTCATAAGTATTTGATGTGTATTTTTATTTCATCACACCCAAAGAGTTTATTGTAATATATTTCATGCTTTATAATGTTATATTGATTTAATTATTATAACTTTCTGCAAAAATGTGGATTAAATATTATAATTTATTTTTAAAAAAATATTGGCCTCTATGGTTCTAAGTTAAAGTTTTTAGTCACAAATGAGAATTTATTAAAATTACTAGTAAATAATTCCTCAAGCAAACAAAAATTAAAAATAAGGAAACTTTTACTGTAACTGAATTCCTTACTGGGCAAATATGTTTACTAATTATTGTAATTGGTTATTGTCTGTGGATGGATATTATTTAATCCTAAATAAGACAATATTCACCCTTTAGTACCATGTTTCATTTTATCCCTATTGTTTGTTGTATAGTGTTAAGTGAGAAACTCTTTCTCACTTAGGTATATGGGAACAAAATTTTTATAAAATTATCATTCCTTTTTTTAAATTGTTTTGTAAAAATTCCAACAATAGCATACTTATTTAGCTTTAAAAATTAAAGCTTTTTTAAAAATTTTTGTGAAAGCAATTAGAAATTATTCATTTAAAAAAATTGTATTACATAATAGCTAGTAATTTTTTAAAAAAATATTTCTTTCCACTTTCTAGAGGAAAGACCTGTTAATACTGGCTATTGACAACCCAAAGTATAACGAATTTAAGAACCTATGACCTGTGCAGTCAGCCATAGTCCAGAGAGGTGAGGGGGAAGGGACTTATCTATGTGGACATACCTGGTTTCTTCTTCCACGCTCACATTTATGAAAAACCTTTACTCGAAAAGAAGACGTGTGATAGAGGGAAGCCAGAGGCATCATACTACTGGAAGAAACATAAGAGTAGAGAATGACTTAACATTTTTTCAGCATTAACTTAATATTACATTAACTTTTTTTTAACTTCATCATTACGGAAATTGTGTGTGCAGAGTAGGGCCTACTTTATCTAACCCAATACCCATATTTAGAAGAATTACATATGTATATGTGCATATATCTTGAATATATATGTACTTATGCATATGAATAACTTTTTAGTACATATTTAGTAAAATTATTGTATCAAAGAATAATAATAGACTACTTTTGTTTAATACTGTATTTTTGAAGGCTTTCTATATCAATATACACACTGTTTTCTTGTCCATTTTATGTTATACTTTTCTCAAAACTGTCTTATAGTTTTCAGAATGTTTTTAGGCAAACTTAATATTATCATTCAATACACCAAATGATTTTGATTTCTATAATTATTTCCCAGAGCAACTTTCCCTTCCATTTTTTAAATCACTAACTCACTTTTCTTCTCCCTTTTATGTATTTTATCATCAATCATTGTTAACTTGCAACTGTTCTTTGATTATCTTATTGCTTTTTAAAAACTACCTTTATCATTAAGAAAAAGTATTTTCCTGAACATTTATTTAGCTTCTAGGATAATTTGTTTTCCAATAAGCATTCTTTATGTGTGTCACTTTTAGATTTGTTACTCTGTTTTTTCTTTTTTTCCATACATAATAAAACACAAAACACTGAAGTAATTTTCAGTTAGTATTGTGTCAAGTTTTACTTACTTTATATTTACTATAAATTCACATAAATATTATGAAAATGTATGTAAATACCTCAGTTCTGCCTCCTCACACTTCTACATTTTTCTTTTAAAAAAGTGATTCACTAATTTATTTGTCTTATACTTCGATAGAAGAAAAATTAAAAATGTTTTTAGCAGTAAATATTTCTTAGACCATTGAGATATAATTAAGTCACCCAGATGGCTTAACTATGCTGTAATATGTACAGTAGAGTCTTAATATTATAATACGAGCAAATTTTGGTAATTTCAAGATTTTTGTATGTAATGCTATTGTGAAGTTTTGCTGTACCCCTATGAATGAACTGAACAAGTGATATTATTTCTCTTTAGTTGGCTCTTTATTTAATCTATTTATTGGAACTTAGAGCCTTGTTTTCATTAATTTGTCTCATTTGTTTTTTATTTACTCAGTAAAACTAATATCTGAAAGCTATGTAGTAAAATACAAAACAGAAGAATAAGGGGGATATGAGCTATCTGCTGCAATCTTATAATCTACATTATTTGCTTCCTGAGTAGTCATAAAATACTAATATTATACAAATATTTATGTTCTTTCTTATAGTATTTTTTCTTACATACTCTTACTAGTTTATCTTAATAAATGCTATGCTTATAATAGTAAGAATGCTTGTTCTGTATTTTATCAAATATATTGCCAAAATTTAATGTAGTTAATGTCAAAGAATAAGAGGCATGGGTTGGTAATTGTTGAGACATATGTTTCCTAGTAAAAAATAAAGAGGAGGAGTATTTTTTCCAATTAAATAAAGGTTTACCTAAGAGTATTTTTCACTGAGTATCATGGCAAAGCTAGTGTGCGTAACTCACTGAGCAAAGCATGTCAAACTTACTTTTGTATTCTTCACTCTATACAAGGGTTTATTCTAAAATAAGTAGAGATCAATAGATTTATGAAAATGTTTCTCTTACAATAGTGAGTTTTAGTTTTGTAAAGGTAAATGAGGCTGCTAAATATTAGTTTAAATGCGTATAATAGAAAATAAATCAGTTCTACTTAACAAATGCATAACCAGACCACCATTTTAGTATGTTTATACTTAATTATTTTCCTTTATTAATGCTGTGTATAATTACTAAGATAAAGTATGGTTATAAAGTATTTATTTTACATATATCTTCATTATCAAAATGTACATGCTTGAGGCTATTTCCTGTTTAATAATATATAATGTCTTAGAACACTAAAATTATCCAGAATTGTATATAATATTTCACATTGCAAATGTTACTATTTTATGAGAACTTTTATAGCCTCTAATTCTGCTGCTCTTTTATTTTAATGGCTTTTCTGTTATGGTAAATTTTTGATGTGTGGTGAGACAAACAGAAGTGAACATATAAATATTAATTCTGTAAAATTAATTTAAGATTCTTTAAATGTATTATCACAATCTTGTCAATTATGGAAAAATGAGTTTATAGTTTATGCCTCATCAGAAAGAAAGTTTCTCCTTAATACAGGAACAAATCAATTAATTATGGCTTAGATGAATGTTTGAAGAAAATAGAACTTTTTCAATATGGCATTATATAATGCTCAGGTAAACCATAAAAATAAATAATAAGGCAAGCAGAAATTCTCACTGGGAAGCACTGGTGAGGAAAGATTAGCACTTCATACACTATTAAGTGTGTGATATCAGATCAACATGCTATTTTTTATTTTAGTCATTAATTTTAAATAATTTTCCAGAAGAAACACTTTGGTCACCTAGTAGTTCCCATTGGATATGTGGGAATAGAGAAATAAATAGAGAGAGAAAGCCTTTCTTCAAATCTTCAGTGATTACAGCATTATACAGATTAAGTCACTATGTGTCTATTCATGAGTTTATCCTGCAAATTTGTTGTGCCATTCATTTTTCAATCTCTAAAGGGCTTATCTTCACTCCCTGAGGAAATAATATTTAATAAATATTCTTAGAAGGTTCTAAATATTATTAAACACACGTATTGGAAATGATTGATTAGAATGAATGTTTTTAGAAGAATAGACATCCATATATTGATAACAAAATGTATTCCTTCATATAAAAGTGTCATCAGGTATATTTGGTAGCAGTGTAAAATGGTACAACCACTTATTAAAATATTTCCAGGTTTCTTAAGAAACGAAAATACCCATATCATATGACCCACACTTATACTTCCAGGTATTTTACCCAAGAGGAATAAAAATATATTTATGCAAAAGACTTGTATAAATTTCCATGACAATTTTTTTCTACTAACCCCAAACTGAAATAACTCAGCTGTTGAGGAATGGATGAATAAAGAAATTGTGTAGTAATTATAAAATGTAATATAACTTAGAAAGAGTAAGAAATGAAATAGTGATACATACAATATGATGAATCTTAAAATAATCATGTTCAGATGGGAACAAAGCAAGCACAAAGAAATACATACTGTGTGATCCAATTAACATGAATTTCTAGAACAGATAAAACTAAGCTGTGCTGATAGAAATTAGGATAGTGATTTAACTGTAATGAAGAGTTTACTGAAAAGGAGCAGGACAGAACTTATTGGAATGAGAGAAATGTTCTATATCTTCATTGAAATGAAGTTTACATTGATAGACACATTAGTTAAAATTCATCACCCTTCTTTCCTTTCCCTTCCTTCCTTCCTTCCCTCCTTCCTTCCTTCCCTCCTTCCTTCCTTCATTCCCTCCTTCCTTCCTTCCTTCCTTTGTAATTAGTCAAATAACCATTAAGCAGAAATAAGTGAGGCGTCGGTCCAGCAAGTTTCGGGAATTAGATACAGGGGGATTAAATAAATACATTGAGGAAAACTGGAGCCAAATTTCACACCTGGAGAAAAATATTCAAATATGAAAAGGGCACATGCAAGAAAATAAATCCTGCAGTAATAGATTGAATTTGGAAGTATAAATGTGAACTAATAGATTAAAAAACCTAATTGCAGATGTAGAAGTCTGTGTATGTGTGTTTGTGTAGGTGTACCCATGTATATGCATATGCATGCATATATTTTCTAAGTTTATCCACCGACAGGGCCTGGGACTAGCAAATTCCCTGTAGAAATAAGAATACCAAGAACTCAGAACTCAGTCTATAAATATTCTCTTCTAAGTGGAACCACTATTCCTTGAAAAAGGTGATCTTAGGACTGGAGCAGGGAAAGAACTAGATAAGAGTGGAATATTTTGCCATAAAAGAAAGCAAGGAAATGCTCAAAGAATTAATGGCATATTTTCAGGACATGGAAACCAGTTTGAAGAGGCTATACTGATTACTGGATGAACTGAAAAATTAGAGTGTCAAAATAAATAATGATCATGAGTACAGTGTGTGTACAAGCACTCCCCCGACATACATACACACCTTTATATTACATTGAATAAAATGAGAAGCCACAAGAACACCCCAGTATAAACGAATGAAAGGATGGGAGGAGAAAAATTGCATTACAGTAGTATGCCTAAAATAAACATAGAAAAAATATAAAATTAGAAAATCACCCCTGAGAAGCATCATTACAATAATTACATTCAGGTAAGTAATATCAATTGATGCTGAAAGGTTACTAGAACCTGAGTATGAAATAGGATATCTACTGAGTCTCCATGTGTCTCCTCCAGACTGCTTACTTATTTACAAAGAAAAAGAAGTAATTTTACAGAAAAGAATCCTTGCTGTTGTCACTTCAAGTAATTAAATCAAACATCACAAATAATGAGAAAAATTGACATCGCATGGCAACTATTAGGATTCAATGACACAAATACAGCAGTTTTCCTGTGATATTTATGCCCCAAAGGCATAATCTAAATCTAATCATGAAGAAGTATCAAATAAATCCAAATTAAAAGATAATCTAATATACAACTTTTCTGTTATCTTCAAAAATGTATAGGACATTAAGGTCAAGAGAGACTGAAGAATTTTTCTGGATTAAATGATATCTAAGTGCAACAGATGATCTTGGGTTAGACATTTTTGAAGTAAAATACATTATTGGTATAGTTTTCAAAACCTGAATGGATTATCTGTATGAAGGATATATGAAATTTTTTAACTTTTCTTAATTTTTTACTGTAACTTTGAAATGAATTCAAAATAATTAGAAAAAAACAGAAAGCAAGACCATATTGGACTGTGTTTCTTGCTTACAATTATGTTTTAGTATATGCCTTATTGTAAATTATACCACATTATTATATAAAATGAAAAGGCAGAGTAGCGGAGATCTTGAAATTAAAAACTCAAAGTGAACAAAAAAATCACTGAAATAAATGTCAAATGCCCAATAAAAAGTGAAAAGAGGCTGGGCGCCATGACTCACTCCTTTAATCCCAGCACTTTGGGAGGCCGAGGTGGGCAGATCACTAGGTCAAGGGATCGAAACCATCCTGGCCAAGATAGTGAAACCCCATCTCTACTAAAAATACAAAATTAACTGGGCATGGTGGCAGGCACCTGTAGTCACAGCTACTCGGGAGGCTGAGGCAGGAGAATCGCTTGAACCTCGGAGGTGGAGGTTGCAGTGAGCCAAGATCACGCCACTGCACTCCAGTCTGACTACAGAGTGAGACACTGTCTCAAAAAAAAAAAAGTAAAAACATATTGAACTTTACTTGTGCTTAAAACAGTGTGTGTTAACATTTACTTGATTGACAAATATCTTCAAATTTGATAATGTATCAAAAATTTTTGAAAATATCAAAATATGTATATTGCACCATACATATATATATATATATATGAGCCAGAAAAAGAAAAAAAAATTCCTAGCTCTATTCAGATGTTGCTAGTTTTTTCCACCAATTAACTTATATACCAATTAATTTAATATAAATATATATATATATATATGTTATATTGGTAGGTTTGATTTTTTCATCAGTTAAGATTTGGTGTACTTTACTTGAGTTCACTCATTCTTTTCCAAACTACTACTTGTTGCTATTGAAAGATGTAATTACTAACCTAGAAAGCATATCAAATGATTTTGAATCATTATATATTTTTCTAAGGGCTTAAGCTATTTCCATCCAGTTTACAAAGCCAATGCTCAAGTTCAGGTGTGGATATTTCTCATGTATGCACAACCACTTTAACTCTCACTAGATTCCAAGGCTCACACAATTTTCAATTTCTTACTGATGTGTTGGGTGTCTGGGGGAATTCACATGGTTTTCATGCAGCAGCTCAGGACCCCAAGCAAAGTCACAGGACATCAATCATCCTTTTCTGCTGGATAGGTACCAAGAAAACCACCAGCTGCTGATTTGTTAAAATTTAAAAACAGACAAGAACACCCTTAGGAGACAAAGGATAAGGTAGACTCATGAGAAGGCTGAGCAGCCTGTAGTAATCAGTTTAGTTCCCAGAGGTTTCAGCTTTCTCTGATGTTATTATTACCTGTTGCCCATCACTGATACCTCACCTGACTCTGTTCTCTCTGAGTCTTTTGCTTTACCCACATTCTTCTTTCTCACCTTCTCCCCATAAAAACCTATTCTGTCTTCTGTGAATATTTTCAGCTGTGTGTATGGTTAGAATGTAGGTCTTGTTGTTTTAGTGCACACAGTTTGAATTTATTATCATAAGATTAAGGCATATATTTCACTCTATTGCTTCTATTTTGTTTCCTCAGTGCTAGGGTTTTAACATAAATCTATGTTATTATGTGTATAACTAGCTAGTTGCTTCTGATACATACTATTTCATGGCATGCCTTGACCACATTTAAATTATTCATTCTTCTAAGGATAGACAAAAGTTGTATAAGTCCTTGTACATACTTTCAATGGACTTATATGAAAATATCTTGGGCTCATTTACTCAAAATTTAATTCCTGTATTAATAGTTATGTAGATTTATTTAACCACGTGGAATCAACTGCTCTTAAGAATAGCTACACCAGCAGGCCACCAGCGACTCTGCATCCCCATAACTCACAGAACTGGAATTGTTCTATTGATAAAAGTTAATGGGATATCTAAGTATTCTCACTCTCCTTTATCTTATTCCTAATACATTACAAAATATCTTCATATATTTCTTAGCTTATGAGCTTTCTCTTCTGTACATTGCCTATTTGTCTCCTTGGTTCATTTTCCTGTTTGGAGTGCTATCAATTGATTTATAGTCATTAGTATATTTTAGTAAAATCTCTACGTGCTAAATGTTAATCCTTATCAGTTTTATGCACTTTCTCCCTTTATCTTTTTGTCCTAATATCTTGATTGAATGCCATCACTCTCTCATCTTTTTGTTTGCTTTGTTTCATGGCTAGTGCTTTCAAAATATTGTTTAAGACATGCTTCATTGTTTCTTAGTAAAAATGATAGTTAACTTTTTTTGTTTGTTGAATTTATGGGATTATTTTTCATTAAGGTTTTAAGCCATCTGGAGTCCACCTTTCTATGTGGAGTTAGGTAGAGATCCAAGTTTATTTTTCTCCATTTAATGAGCGAATTTTCTCAACCTTATCTAATAAACAATCTGCTCTTTCTGCATGCATTTGTGATACCACCTTTATCATGCATTACATTTTTATATATCCGTGATCATGACTATGAGAAACATTTGGAGTTGGCAGTTGGTAAACTTAGTGATCTTGGGGGCGGGGTGAAAAATCAATGACTATGAATGACTGGTCAAGCCACAATAGTTTCCATCAATTTCACGCATGCATAGAGTGTAGGTTTGGTCCTGATATTTTTTCTATTGCCTCTAATTGCTAAGATACAGTCAGTGAATAAGAAAGCAATGGTACTAAAACTATTTCTTCAAAAGTAGTCTCTCTCTTCTTCAAATCAAGTTTTGTAGACACCAGACCACTACATACACTGTTCCTAGAAAGGCTTCAGTTTCCCTAGAGCTTTCTCAAGGTGGTTGCATTTGTTGTTGCTGTTAGTTATTAGACTGTGCCTTTCCCATTAGCTAGTGTAGTTTCTCCATGCTTACTTGTCTCAGCAGATTGAGCTTTCTGTTGATTTGGTATGAGCTGGAAATTCCTCAATGACCTCTTCGTATGCCTCATATTCCTTGACTTCTCCCAAACCATTCTCTCATGCCCTCTTTTGCTCTACATCCAAAGAGTTTCTCTTCTTAATTTATAGGAAACTATCTCTTGCCAACCTTATTATTTTGTAGGGCTGGGCTTTTGGAAACAATTTTGTACTAGAATCATTCTTTGAGATAAAAAAAAATCACAGAACTTGCCTACCTGATCAAATGGGAAATAAGAAAATAGAAAGCATGGAAAAAATAACATTAAAAAAGGCGCTTTCTACGCATATAATAATGGAAATTAAGAAAAGTTCATGCATCACACCAAAAAAGTAACATTTGATAACCTCCAATTCATGTATTTATGTAATTCTATGTAATTTACAAAATGCTGTTAAATACATTGACTCATGGAAGGTTGGCTAGTAGAGTCTATCCACCTCACTAGTGTGGATATGTATTTAGTCCAGTCTATCTCACAATGTAGGGTCAGTTGTTTTGATTCTCCAGCTTTTCACACACAGCAAGTTTTCTTTATTATCAGCAATTTTCAACTCATCACATATGCATGTACTGCTTAAAAATATTTTCATGTTAACTAATAAAAGTGCTTGGCTCTCCCTTATCACATCATTTTACTTAGCTACCAATTATTACACCCTGAGGAAGAAAAACTAATTTTATTATTAGCTGAGATACAACATAACTAGAAAGTTAAACTTACTGCAGAAAATCATCTCATATATATTCCTTTAAAATTAACTGTACTTTTAGATTATTCATGCCTCTGTTTCTCTTCAATAACATGGTTAAGTGAAAGTTGATGAAATTGCTAAATTGAGTACTTCAGAGCAGGAAACTGAAATCTTTCCAGGAAGTTAACACTTTTCTTGATTGAAGATCAAATCATTTATTTTAAGGATAGTCTCTTCACAGTATCACCCCAGAACATTTGAACTGGGGGTTTCAAAATCAAGGTTTGAAGTTTCTCATCTTGCCAACTCCCACCTCGGAGCTAGGGTCAAATATATTGAAGTTATGAAACAATATAGTCTAAACTAAGGCCAAAGGATAAAAAAAAGTAGAAAGTCAACTACTTTTAAAATTGCATTTTAAAATTGCATTTTAAAAAATGCAATTTTATTTTATTTTCCTACTTTCAGACTTTTAAACTTTAATGAGAGTGATGTCTCCTGAAATCTTTGTATTTTGTTACATAATTGTCTTTTTTAATGTCATCTAATTCCCTGTTTATATGATAGTTATTTGATGATTTTGATGTAATTACATAACAATTTTTTAAAATGCCATTTGAGTACATAGAAATGACTGATTTATTGATTGACAGGAAAAATTGAGGACTTGGTTTTTATGCTGTATAGACAGTCAGATTATAGTTTTCTGTATTGGTTAATTTTGAAATACGCTCAAGTAGATCATACATTCTGCCCTCTTTAGTTTTTTCAACATTTTAGTTTACAAAGAATTTCAATAACCTAAATCATTATTGTATTCCATAGTTTTTTGGGTAATAATACTCAAATGCAAATCCCCTTTTGGTAGTTTCCTAAAGAAGTCCCTCTGATAATACATCTCCCTGTGGGGAGATTTCCTTAACACTTTAAGGGGTTGACTTATGGCAAATTCTGGAGGACACTTTTCCAGAAATTTCTTCAGGCAGCAGCCCTGTGAATTTGCCACTCAATGGCCAAGGCTGTGCTTCCTCAACAAGGTCTGGATCTTGTCCTGGAGTATCCTCTTCCATGGGTGTTCTATCTCAGCTCTAAGGGTAGTAGCTGCACATCAATATGCTATTCCTGTGTTCTTTAGAGTTCTCTTTACTTCTCAGTAGCCAATTCCTCATTACTCTAATCCCTTCCTATAGTCAATAGTTCTTTATGTTAAACTCTTCAAATTACTGTGTGGTTTCTACCTCATAGAGGTTGGATCCTGACTAACATGCACGGAGATGGTGCCAGAGTGAGGCTGAGCAAGATTACCACTACCTGTTTAATGCTCACAAATAGAGAGATTGACCTTAAAAGTAATAAATGCTAATAGAGGCTATTCTCATAGAAACTATAATCATTAAGGAAGAATGATGGTACTTAAAAAGGAGAGGGAAGAAGACAGGGGCCAATACCCTCAATTAATGTGACGGAATAAACAGATGGTCAGAAAATGACAATGATGATCAAAACACAGGGAAACTCATAGGGATGAAGACTAGTCATTTACGTTAAATAATAGTCTTTTCATAATCTTACTTCAGAATATTTAAACGTGATATCAAGCACCCAAAGAACATGCAGATTTTATGAGTGTGAAACTTAAACTTTGAAACTAAAACTAAAGAGTTGAGAAAAAGACGTTTACTAATTTCCCCTTTTTTACACTCTTGTTATATGCAATTAAGCGAATATGAGATTTTCCCCTAAAGATAATTTCAGGGAAACTGGTCTTATAGATGAATAGCCCAAATTCATTTACTAGTTTATATTTTTTCTACTCTAAAAGAGTGCTCTATTTTAAATTATTATTTGTTTAGTAAAATATTTCAGCTAACATTTTTTAGGTCTACAATAGCTACACATTTTTGGATAATGTCCAATAACTTTGGATATGGAATTAGAACAGATGGCTATATAAACACAATAATAAATTCCTAGCTACCTAGGCACAACCACTAATAAATTTAGCATATATTAATATAATTAATTTTTAGATTTTAATTGAGCATAGTCATGGACAATATTTTGATCACTTAAAATTACATAGTTAATTACAAATGCACAGTACTAGCTGGTATAGCTTTTACATATTATCAAACTTGTATTTAACTGCCAAGCAATTATAAGAGATAGAATGTGAATAGAAGATCTATAAAGTGCCAGATCACAATAAGAAGTAGTTTCTTCAGTGTATTCTGAAATTAAACAAATATCCTGGCTAATACTTAATATTAATTGATTTTTAAAGTCATATGATTTATAAAGCAAATCAAAATCTATGAACAATTAAAAATTACTATTCCAAATATTTTTATTGTCATAAAAGTAAAAAGCTCTTTCTTTAAAAAAGTTATTCTTTTCAAAATCTTTGAATAATCTCCAAAATGAAGATTTTTATAAGATTTGAGGATAACTTAATAAAAAATATTTTTTATTTTATTCCTGCTCCTTTAAACATATACCTTATTGAAATAACCTGACATACTATTTTATTTTGAATCATTTTCTGATAATTAAAAATGTGTTCAATAATTTAATAAGCCATAGTGTTATTAATTTTGGTACTAGAAAATATAGTTTTATTTTATAAAACAAATCGATTTAAAGATTTTTTGTTATTCAGTCCTAGCCTTGTACTTTAATTTTTTCTAATTCCTCTTTAAGGGTGATATTTGACCCACACCTGTGGAAAACCTAATTTTAGCCTCTAGCTTTATTTTTCACCTTTGGAGATATTCTGGAATTTAATAGCAAGGCACCCTTGTTACTGGACTAACTGAAGTAGAATCCTGATCTTGATCAATATTCTTTTTTCCAATATGAACATTTTGGCAATTATTTTTAAGTAGATTGACTTCTACCTTGTGTTTTTATACACATGAACATGCTTTTTCTCAAAAAAACTTTCCTTTTGCTAACCTCCTCCTGTCTGCTCAGGTGATTCAAACACCATACTGTGCCATTTTCTAAAGTCCCAATGGTTACTGCTTTTCTTTGTCAGCTACGTGATACATTGAGTTACTGCCCATATACCATTCTCAGCCCAATGGATGGGACTCCCTCCAACTCATAAAAAGAACTTTCTCAGAACTCACCTATCATGAAGTCCCAAACTGCATTCATTCTTGTATGGTGTTTCAACAATTAGTCTCTCTACTTCAGAAGATGTAATTTCTGTTTTAAAATATAGTTTTGACATTTCCCAGTAAGATAGTGTGCACTAAAAGAGGTGCATGTATCATCTGTGTATTTGTAAATAATTGAACGATTCATAAATATGCACTACTCTGGAAATTAGATGAGAACTAGACGAAGGGGTAAAAAATAAATATAAGAGGCTTGTGAAGATTTAATGGATAAGGAGAAATATGAGTTAGAGTTTTCTGTAGGCAAAGTCAAGGGAATATGAAACTGTATAATATATTATTATCATTATATTATTTAAATAGATGTTTCTTTTCAGAAAGAAGATTAGAACTTAACAGAGAAACCTTTTTGATTTTTGATCCTTTAATGGAGAATTTTCATTTCCATAATCAAGCAGATAATGAGATATCCAATTTGGTGTATAGAGTTTACTGGGCATGAACTAAGACTTTCAGATACCTGTGTATCTTGAAACATTTAGGCTACTGACTATATTATACAAGAATGATGGAAAAATAATTTAAAATATTTTATATATTTTAGTGTTTCAAAATTATTGCATACAATTCTTTGTAACAAAGAAGTAAGGGTATTTGCATGTTTTTCAACTTTCCTTTTGGATTCTCCTAGTCACATATGTTCTATCAGCAAAACCACTGAGGTAGGCAAAATTCAGAACTGGCTCCCAAGATTCCTATGTTTTGGTTTACACCCCCTGGATTATCCCCTCCCTTTGAATGTAGGCAGAATTAAAGGGATTTCATAGATATAGTTAAGATCCCAAATTAGTTGACTTTGAGATAATAAAAAAAGGAGTTTATCTTGGGTAGAACTGATCCAATCAGGTGAGCCTTTAAAAGAAACTGGAGGCCAGGTGTGGTAGCTCACACCTGTAATCCCAGTACTTTAGGAAGTCGAGGCAGGCGGATAACTTGAGGCCAGGATTTTAGGCCCAGAGTGGCCAACATGGTGAAACACCATTTCTGCTAAAAATATAAAAAATTTCGCTGGGCCTCATGGTGCATGCCTGTAATCCCAGGTACTTGGGAGAAGGAGAATTGCTTGAACCTGGGAGACGGAGGTTACAGGGAGTTAAGAACCCACCACTGTACTCCAGCCTGAGTGACAGAGGGAGACCCTGTCTCAAAAATAAAATAAAATAAAAATAAATAATAAATAAATACAGAAGTAAATAAAAGGAATTAGACCTTTACTAAGGGAAGATATTTAAAGTGTGAGAGAAGCTATGGGAATGGGGGTCATGTGGCAAGAACCAGAGTGTGATACCTGGAAACTGAAAGCAGTCTCTTGCTCACGACTATGAAAAAAAACAATGGGTGTGTTCTTACTCCTATGAGGGAGCTAAAAATTTGATCTCATGGACATAGAGAATAGAACAATGGATGGCAGAGACTGGGTAGGAGAGGAGTGGTGGATGAAGATAGGTTGATGATATGGTTTGGCTCTGTGTCCCCACCCAAATCTCATCTTGTAGCCCTCATAATTCTCCCAGTAAGATGATTGAATTATGGGGGCGGGTCTTTCCCATGCTTTTCTCGTGATAGTGAATTGGTCTCACGAGATCTGAAGGTTTTAAAAATGGGAGTTTCCTTGCACATGCTCTTTTTTTGCCTGCTGCAATCCATTAAGGATATGACTTGCTCCTCCTTGCCTCCCGCCATGATTGTGAGGCCTCCCCAGTCATGTGGAACTATAAGTCCAATAAACTTCTTTCTTTTGTAAATTTTCCTATCTCAGGTATGTCTTTATCAGCAGTCGGAAAATGGACTAATACAGTTAGTTATGAGTAAAACACAGTCAGATAGAAGAAATACATTCCAATGTTTGATAGTGGACTAAGATGACTTAGCAATAACATTATGTATATTTCAAAGTAACTAGAATGGGAAACTTGAAATGATACCAGCACATAAAAGTGGTAAACATTAAAGGTGAAGGGTAGTTCGTTTACCCTGACTTAATCATTACACATTCTTAACATGTAACAAACACTCACATGTACCCCACAGATATGTATGTTATCACATATTCTTAAAATAAAATTTTTAAAAATTAAATTAAATTAAAAGGAAATGAGAATATCAGTCACATAACAGCAAGGAAACAATTCCTTCCGACAACCTGAGAAAGTTTGGAAGCAGGTTTTTCTCTAGTCAAGCCTCAAATTGAGAACTTACCCAGTCAACACTTAATTTCAGCCTTGTCGGATCCTGAACAGAGGACCCAGTTCAAATTTGTCAGGCTCCTGACCCATGGCAAATCTTAGCTGATAAGTACTATATATCCTGTGGCTTTGTGTTGATTTCAAATCATGGATATGTTTGGGCTAAACAAGTTTTGTATTATTTTTGGTTCTGGTTATGGTAAGTCACAGAACTATGCTAGTAAACAGACTAATTCCTAAATAATCCTAACCAAAAATCTCAATGCATTTTTCTGTGTATTGGCAGAAATTAATATTTCACAAATACCTAAGAATTAATTGATTTAGTAAGCAGAAAAATTTTTAAGTAGTTGATATTTCCTATAGCTATTTTTATTTAATGCGTTTTATACTACTTTCTCTGCTTAACTGTTAGGAAAACATTAACTCACAAATGTTAATAAGCAAATAAAATGGTGGATATAGTTTTAATGTGAAAGAAAAATAACTAGACACAGTTTCAAGGAGTAGATATATCACAAGATTATAATTGAAATAATTCTAAATACAGTCTAGATGCTTTATCATTTGCTTACTTACTTTAATATTTATTCACATCTTAGTGGATAACTTTAGTATTAAATCTTACATACTTATGAAGATAAGTAGTACTAAGCCTATTATGAAACATTATCTTTACTGAGATTACAAGCTATCCTATATTCGGTTTACTCTTCTCTTTTCACTAACTTCATATATAAGGTTGGAGTCATATAAATTAAAAGGAAATCACGAAATACAATTCCTGATAGATTAGTTAATATGTTAATGTGAAACAATATCATACAGCGTTTTTTGAGTAATAGTACTGATAATAAACAAAACCAACATAAAATCGTATATTAGAACTTTCAAAAGAAAAACAATGCAATTTTTTCTAAAATCAAGTACTGCTAAAGTTCAAAAAACTAAGTTACATACAATAATCTTACCAACATAACAAATGCCATTAGTAAATTAATTGTCACAAAGTCATAAAATTTCATCTAATTACTTATGCCTTAAGTATCTGTAAATGTGACATAATACTAGAATGACTTGTATATACATAATTTACTAACTCTTCAAGGTAGCCAGTAAACTGTCAAGGAAAAAAGAATAACAATCCAAAGTAAGAAGATATTAAGAGATATAATTACACCTAATCCTTACTATAATGGAAATCACTATTCTCTATAATCCTGAGGAAGCATACCAAAAGGACTCTTTATTAATAATTTAATAAATAAATATTGCTCCTGAAAATACCACCAGTCTGGGGGTACAATAGGACAACTAAATAATAATAGGTCATGTTTTCTATGGTTCTGCTCTTACCACTTATTATCATTGGGTTTTCTCCAAGTCTCTTGCTTAATAAAGTTTAAAAACTCTGGAAAGGGATTAAAGCCTTTTATTTTTCCAGTTTCTGTAGTTTTCTCTGTCTTCCTTGTATCTGTGGTACTGATTGAATTATCTAAATTATCTGTGTGCATAGAGACTGTATTGCCTTACAATGAGTCCATGAAGCACAATCCTATGTTCTGCTTCCTCTAAGTCATGCATTCTGAGATGCAATGTTTACTCCCTACTTTGTATTCCCTATTAGTCCTGCACTAAAGCCAATGACCCATTTACCCAGATGTTAGTTCTATTGTATAACCAAAATTGTGCAAGTCTTATAGGAATATAGGAGAGGCTGTTGTACAAACAAGGATCATTGGCATTGAAGTGGTGATGAAATTGAAAGGGTGTTAGATGTTATACCAGTCAGGTTTCTCTAATTGTAAATAATAGAAAACAAATTCAAGTAGCTGAAGTTGTAAGAAAGAGGAAGCAGAGAGATAATCCTTCCAGCAAATCAGCACTAAATTGGCATAGCTTAGGGAAAGATTATAGTATTTTACTTGCCCTTTTTATATTCTGTGTTTATCTTGATGACTGAGGGCAGGAGATGATAATTGGTGAGACAGGTAATAATATGTATAACTTTCACTGAAACCATATTGTTTGAAGAAGCATTTTCAGGGAAGAGAACATTGAACTTAATTGTTAAGTAGGGAGAAAGGAAACAACTAAACAAATGTGTGAGCAAAATGTATGAACAAATAATGATAAAGAATAGCAGGGACAATATAATAAGTAAAATCAAATGATGCAATAGGTCACTCTAGGTTTATTAGATACAATTACAAAAAATACAGTATTTATTTATAGTCTGGAAAGTTTAAATAACTAAAATATTGCTCTCTTAAGACAGAAAGAAATTATGAAACACCAATCTAATAATATTAATAATCACATTTGAAATATCTTCTATATTTATTGTTCTATTTAAGTATCCTACTTCTCCTTTTGTATGTTTTGATACCTTATTTTTTAGAAATAAAAAAATCCTTAAATTTTGTTTTTAAACTTGTCACCAGCAGTAGGCATCTTTCTAAACTGAATTCCAGTGATCCTTGCCTCTTTCTGATATTCATGCTCTGGTATAATCACATGCCCTTGAGTGTGACCAACACCTAATACATTGCTAAAAACAGCGGAAAAAGACAAAAGTGATTAGATGTCACTTCTGAGATTTATAAAAAAGACTATGTGCCGGGCATAGTAGCTCATGCCTGTAATCCCAGCACTTTGGGGAATAAAGGCAGGGGGATCACTTGAGCCCAGGAGTTTGAGACCAGCCTGGGCAACATCGCGAGACTCTGTCTCTACCAAAAATAAATAAATAAATAAAAAATTAACCAAGTGTGGTGGTGTGTGCCTATAGTACTAGATACCCTGGAGCCTGAGGCAGGAAGATTACTTGAGCCTGGGAGGTGGAGGTTGCAGTGAGCCATGATGGAGCCACTGCACTCCAGCCTGGGAGACAGGGCGAGACCCTATATCAAAAAAAAAAAAAAAAAAAAAAGGCTATTCTCGGTCTTGTTCCCACTCTCTTTCTAACTCTCCTTGCTTGCTTGTTGCTCATTCTAATGAAGAAAACATCCATGTTGTAAGGTACCCCATGGAGAATCTGATGGCGAAGGAAACAGAGTAAGGCCACTGCATGACAATCAACAAGAAGCTGAGGCAGTAGTCTAACCTAGGAAGAAGGTATTTTTTTTTATTATTATTATACTTTAAGTTTTAGGGTACATGTGCACAATGTGTAGGTTAGTTACATATGTATACATGTACCATGCTGGTGTGCTGCACCCATTAACTCGTCATTTAGCATTAGGTATATCTCTTAATGCTATGCCTCCCCCCTCCCCCCTCCTCCCACCCCACAACAGTCCCCAGAGTGTGATGTTCCCCTTCCTGTGTCCATGTGTTCTCATTGTTCAATTCCCACCTATGAGTGAGAACATGCAGTGCTTGGTTTTTTGTCCTTGCAATAGTTTACTGAGAATGATGATTTCCAATTTCATCCATATCCCTACAAAGGACATGAACTCATCATTTTTTATGGCTGCATAGTATTCCATGGTGTATATGTGCCACATTTTCTTAATCCAGTCTATCATTGTTGGATATTTGGATTGGTTCCAAGTGTTTGCTATTGTGAATAGTGCTGCAATAAGCATAAGTGTGCATGTGTCTTTATAGCAGCATGATTTATAGTCCTTTGGGTATATACCCAGTAATGGGATGGCTGGGTCAAATGGTATTTCTAGTTCTAGATCCCTGAGGAATCACCACACTGACTTCCACAATGGTTGAACTAGTTTACAGTCCCACCAACAGTGTCAAAGTGTTCCTATTTCTCCACATCCTCTCCAGCACCTGTTGTTTCCTGACTTTTTAATGATTGCCATTCTAACTGGTGTGAGATGGTATCTCATAGTGGTTTTTATTTGCATTTCTCTGATGGCCAGTGATGGTGAGCATTTTTTGGAAGAAAGGTATCTTAACAGCAAGTGATGAGCATTGATGAAAATCCTCCCTCACTTGAGGCTTGATATGATTTCAGTCCTAGTTGACACCTTCATCACAGCTCTGAGAAAGAAAGGCCCTGAGCCAAGGGAGACGGCTGAGTCACACCTGGATTTCTGAGGAACAGAAACTGATATAGTGAAAATGTTGCTGATTTAAGTCACTAAGTTTTAGGGTAATTAGATACACAATAAATAACTATCACCATAGGGTTGTACCTAGCAAACTTCTGTTGTTTCAAACTCTACTTATTGAGTGGTCTTATTCTCCTCTAACTACTAACGTGTATATTTCATCTCTCCTCTTTTCTGTTCAGTAAGATTCAGAGATGGTTTTTGTTTGTTTGTTTTTTGTCATTGTTGTTTGCTTGTTTTTCCTGTACATTGTTTCTTACTCTATCTTTTTTAACACATTCAAAGAACCAGATTTTGGATTTGTCTGTCTTTATATAATTTAGTTATAATATTACCTATGGATTTAGTATATCTTCTAAAAGTTTAAGGCATACAATAAAGTTTCACTTCTTGGAAATTTCAAGATTTCCTTGTGACAAAGTTCATATCCCATTTTTGTGTTTTTTTCCCTGGACACAGATAAAAAAAGGCACATCTTTTAAGTCTTTAACGAAAAAATTCTTATACATCTTCTAAACTGGTTTTTACTTAAATTGTTCTATATTCCCCCTATCTATTGTTACCAGTGGAGGGTGTCCAGGTTTTTGGCATCTTGGACAAAGAATTGGACAAAATGCACAAACAAAGCAAGGAAAGAATGAGGCAACGAAAGCAGAGATTTATGGAAAGTGAAGGTACGCTCCACAGGGTGGGAGTGGGCTCAAGCATAGAGCTGAGTTACAGAATTTTCTGGGGTTTAAATTATTGAAAGTGAAAGTACCCTCCACAGGGTGGGAGTGGGCTCAAGCATAGAGTTGAGTTACAGAATTTTCTGGGGTTTAAATTACTGAAAGTGAAAGTACACTCTACAGGGTGGGAGTGGCTCCAGCATAGAGCTGAGTTACAGAATTTTCTGGGGTTTAAATTTCCTCTGGAGATTTCCACTGGTTTCTTGTTGTAAGCCCTATGTCAATGAAGAGCATAAAGTAAAGTTACAAAGTCATTTCCTAGGTGTATGCCCTATGTAAATGAAGGGGATATTTCTTGTCATGACTGAAGTGTTTCCATTTGATTTAGTTTTAAGAAGTACTTAGGGTTCCCTGCCTCCAGGCCCTGTTCTCCTGCCTCATTCCCCACGTGAAAGGCGTGATCCCCATACATCTATATGGGAGGCGGAGAGACCAATGGTCTTTCTTCTGTAATTGCTTTATGCTGGCTTGGGGCATGGTCCCTATCTGTTGAGGATCACAGAACTCTCACCCTTCTCTGTCTAGTGGAGACAGGGTAGTTCCTTGATGGCTAGGAGTGGTGTCTTCACCTGGAACTGGCTGGAACCCTTGTCACATGAGCATCTGAAGCTTGATGGTCTCTAGGCCAGAGGAAGTGAATTTAGTTAAAAGACTTAATGGGAACTTCAGGGAGTGGATGCCTATGTTGTCAGGAATGTTTGTTACAGAGATTTGCAGGAGAAAAACAAAACATGGTCTGTTCTAGAATGTATCTGTTTCCTTATAGTCTTAACACAAGCAACTCCATTTTGGTTTGGTTTGATCTGTTGGGGCTGAGTGCATGAACTCAATCAAAACAAATGACTTCCCACAATTTTGTTTTAAAAACTTCCCTCCTTTTTGGTCAAGTTCTCACTTAGGTGAGAGTGTGACCAAAACTTAGGGCCTTAGCACCACTCAGTTACCATCATTTTGGGTTTCTGGTCTCAACACATTATTCATAGTTTATGGTTTCCTCATGGTCACATGTTTCTTTAAGCTCTTGTCATTCCAGTTGAAGAGAGACCATTTGACATTCTAGAGATGGCTGCATGCAAGCATTTAAAACCTTTCAGAAAATACAGCACAACAGGACAACTATTATTATAACCATCGGGAGGATAATACTAAGAGTTTGGAGTATGCTTCTTTCCCCGGGTCCCCATAAACCAAACCACCTAAAATCAAATAGATCAAAGAATGAGCTAGATAGTGAGCCTACTCACTTAATTAAGCAATCTCTGTTAATCCCCTGCCAATGAATCTCTGTAATCTTCATTTAATGTGTTTCTCCATAAGCCACAAATGCCAGCAGCCGCACAGATACTCCTCTGTTCAGCCAATTCTACCTTAACTTTCACAAGAGAATTCAAAGTCTGTTGTGTAACTATAGTTCTTACAGTAGATGTTCTCAGAAGATCCAGTCTTTTGGTTCTAGATTGCGAAGGGGTTGATTGTCCTTAGTGAACCATAAAAAGCTTTCTTTACCTGGTGAAAATACAAGGTAGCATAATAATCTATTGTTATCCTACTCAATCTATCATGGAGGCTACAGTGTTCCCCAGGGCCCCCCAAAACCCACATAATAAATATTTTGTTCCTGTTACACAATGCAATATCCTTAAGTTCACTAATATCACCATACATCCTGTGCAATCAGGAAATTCACTTTAGGCACCTGACCAGTAAGTAAAATTGCTTACACTTATTTACTTAATTTATGAAAAGTCTTTTACTTATAAGCGAATTCAGTAGACACAGCATGTAACAATTAGTGAACATACAAATAAACAAATCTAGACATGAGTTTATTGTGTATACATACAAGTGAAGTTTCAATAGCTTTTATCTTGGGACTCTAGCCATGAGATAGCAATACAAGCTCACCACAAAACTAAAGCAGTTTACATGACAGTTTAATTTGTTTTTTGTTTTTTGTTTTTGTTTTTTGTTTTTGAGACGGAGTCTCACTCTGCCCGCCAGGCTGGAGTGCAGTGGCACGATCTCAGCTCACTGCAAGCTCCACCTCCTGGGTTCAGGGCATTCTCCCGCCTCAGCTTCCCAAGTAGCTGGAACTAGAGGTGCCCGCCACCACACCTGGCTAATTTTTTGTATTTTTTAGTAGAGATGGGCTTTGACAGTTTAATTTTTAAAGGTTAAACCTTCCCAGACTCTAACACTGGGACCAAACAGTACCACAGGAGAGGATGACATGTTAACCAGGCCCCCTGCTTAGAACAGCAGCACAAAAGCCTGGATACATGCAATTCCATCCCACTTTCCCATTCAACAGCAAACTCCAGATTCCAAATAGTATTGTGGTGAAACAGTATTGCAACTGGCAGAGAAAATTCTAAGAAGGGCTTAGTACTTGACCTGGGGACCTCTACCAAGGGCATCCCCTTTGGAGAGGTTGAGGTCCAGAGGATTCCCTGGGGTGTCCCCCTCTGGAGTCCAATCTTAGATGGACAGATATGTTTGACCTCAGGTGGGCACTGGTGCTGCTTTGCATGTTTTCCCTCCAGAGGTGATGGCCTACTATGAGCTTTCCTTTTGTCCCTGGATGAAGGCCTTGACTTCTAGCATCCTTATAATTTCATAAGGCCTTGTGTTTCCATGTTTCCCACTGCACTAGAGTGATAGCCATGAACTGTAATGACAGGAACTGGAGGATGGGTGGGTTTCTTTCGTCCCTAGCCAGTAGAGTAGGGGAAGGGAAGAATTTAGCATAGGAAAAGAATGTTTAAGTCACCTGAAATGCATGCGAGTTCACCCTGGAAAAGCTGTCCCACATGTAGGGATCAGGGACAACAACTGGAAAAGACAGAAAAATCCTTCCCCCTTCCAGGCATGGTAGCTATCCCCCTTTACTCCTTGCCCTTCAGGTAAACCAGAGAGTGGCCCTGGACAGTTGCGCTCAGTTACTAAGGAGCTATTTAATACTAGGAAGCAGCCATCAAAAGCCTGAAAAAGAAAGAGAGAAAAAAGAAATAAAGGGAAAAAAATCCAGGTCCCTTACCCAAACTGGACGGTGGCTGTTAGGCACCTCCACACAGAAACCCCTTAGTTTCACCAGAGAGTGGCCACAGCCAGAAACCTGTAGTTGTCTCTGTTTAGGCACTGCCCACCAAGGGTCCTGAGTTGGAAATGAAAAGAGAGAGAGAGAGAGATTCCACTGTATGGAGCAGAAAGGAAAAGGTGAAAAATAAATCCCAAACTCTGGGCTTACCTCTTGTCTGGCTCGCCAAAATATGTTACCGGTGGAGGGTGTCCAGGTTCTTGGCGTCTTGAACAAAGATTTGGACAAAATGAACACACAAAGCAAGGAAAGCATGAAGGAACGAAAGCAGAGATTTATTGAAAACGAAAGCACACTCCACAGGGCGGCAGCAGGCCCCAGCAAGTGGCTCAAGAGCCCAGTTACAGAATTTTCTGGGGTTTAAATTTCCTCTGAAATTTCCATTGGTTACTTGGTGTATGCCCTATGTAGATGAGGAGAATAAAGTAAAGTTACAACATTATTTACTCGCTGTACACCCTATGTAAATGAAGAGGATATTTCCTGTCATAGCTGGTGTTTCTGTTTGATTTAATTCTAGGAAGTCCTTATTTTCCCTGCCTCCAAGCCCTATGCTCCGGCCTTATCTACTATTTATTATTATTAAAGAGATATATTACACTCACTTCAATAATTTCATTTGTATCAAATTCTCTTAGAATTTCTAATACAGTTTACTTTATGTAATTAGTTGCTGAAGGGTTTGATACTGTTAGTATGTTTACCTTGTATCATTATCTAATGCCATTCTTTGTCTTATTTGTAATGTTAATCATAAGTTTTATCTATTATATACATTTTCAATTCTTGATTTTTATATTAGGTTGAGCTGACATTTAAAAAAAATACCATAGTCTGAGTGGCTTAAACAATAGAAATTTATTTCTCACTATTGTGGAGACTGGGAAGTTCAAGATCAAGGTTCCATGTCATCTTTCTCTCTCTCTCTCCTTCTTATTAATAAGGTCCCATTATAAAGGTCCCACATTCTAACCTGATCCAACCCTATCTACCTCCCAAGGACCCCTTTCAAACACCATCCTGCTGGGGGTGAGGGCTTTGCCGTATGAATTTGACAAAACACAAACTTTCCATATAACAATTTCCAAACTTTTTTTCACAGTGTTTTATTGTTCCCTCCATCCCGGCTTTATTAAGGTATAAGTATAATTGTAAAAACTTACATATATTTAGGGTGTATAATGGTGTTTTTGTATATATGTAAATGTTTCTAAATGATTCAGTGAAGCTAGTAAACATCCATTATTTCATGTACTTGCTATGCTTTTTGTGGTGAGGACATTAAAGACCTACTTGCTTAGCAATTATCAAGAATATAATGCATTATTAATAACAATAGTCACCCTGCACAAAATAGATCTTCAGAAATTATTCTATCTTTCTGAAACTTAGTACACTTTAGCCAACATCTTTCCATTCCTCTGATCTTCCTCCTACCCTACCCTTTCCCCCGGTAATTACTGTTCTACTCTCATCTTCCTTGAGTCTGACTTTTTCAAATTCCACACATATGTGAGATTATGCAGTATTTGTCTTTCTCTGCCTGGCTTATCTCACTGAGAAAAATGCAATATAGTGTCCTCCAGTTTTATCTATGTTTTTGCAAATGATAAGGTTTTCTTCTCTTTTAAGGCTGAGAAGTATTCTATTCCACTGTGTATGTATATGTCTGTATTTTTCCCCCATTAGTTATAGTTCTGCTTTCTGTGTTTCTTCAGTTACTGGCAGTGCTATGGTTTGCATACAATTTTTCCCCACCAAAACTCATGTTGAAATTTAATTGCCAATCTAACAGTGTCGGGAAGTGGTGCAGCCTTTAAGAGGTGTTTGGATCATGAGGGATCCTCCCTCATGAAGGTATTAAAACAGTCTTGTAGTAGTAAATGAGTTCTCACTCTCCTGAAACTGAATTAGTTACCTTGACAGTGGGTTTTTATGAAGCAGACTCTCTCTCCTGTTTGGTCTGTTTGCACACAACAATTCCCCTTCTGCTTCTCTTGCATGTTGTGATGCAGGATGAGGCTTGTATTGGAAGCAAAACAGATACTGGTGCCATTCTCTTGGATTTTACAGCCACCAGAATTGTGAACCAAGTAGATCCCTTTTATTTATAATTTACCTAGCCTCAAGTGTTCTGGTATATCAACACTAAAGAGAATAAGGCATGTGGTCAACTATGATTTTAAAATATTAAATAAAAATTTTCAGAAATAAACAATTTATAAGTTTCAAATTGAGCACCAATTTGAGTAGCTAGTAAAATCTCATACTATCCCATCCTCTCCTTCCTGGGTCATGAATGATAACTTTATGCAGTGTATCCACACTGTATATGCTCCCTGACAACTATTCTATAGGAAAAAAAAAAAACATAGTGTATGGGGTTTGATATGATCCACAGTCTCAGGCATCCACTGAGGAGCCTGGAACATAATCCCGGCAGATAAGGGAGATAAGGGTGAACAACCGTATATATAGTACACTCCCCAACACACATATAATACGCCATTAAATTAGATAGCCTAGAAGAAATGGATACATTCCTAGAAACATACACCTTACCAAGACTGAAGCATGAAAAATTAGAAAATCTGGACAGACTAATAACTAGTAAAGAGTGAATCGGTAATCAAAAGCTGCCAAAAACAGAAGCCCAGGACCTGAGAGCTTCACTGCTGAACTCTACCAACCATTCAAAAAAGAACAAACACTAATATTTCTTAAGTATTTCCAAAACATTGAAGAGGAGACAGTACTTCCAAGCTCATTTTACATTATCAGCATTACCCTACTTCTAAAGCCAGAAAAGGATACTACAAAAAAAAAAAAAATTAAAGGCTAATATTTCTGATGAACATAGCTGCAAAAGTCTTCAACACAACACTGGTAACCACATTCAACAACATATTAAAATAATTATCCACCATTATCAAGTGGGATTTATTCCTGTATACAAGAGTAATCAAACATATGAATGGAATAAATGTGATGCATCACATTAATAAAATTAAGGATACAAATCATATGATCATCTCAATAGATATAGAAAAAGGAATTGACAAAATTCAACACTTTTTTATTTGAAAAACTTTTAACAAATTAGATATATAAAAGAAATATATCTCAATATAATAAAGGCCATAAATGACAAGTTAACAGCTAATACGAAAAACAAGCAATGGGGAAAGGATTCCCTATTTAATAAATGATGCTGGGAAAACTGGCTAGCCATGTGTAGAAAACTGAAACGGATCCCTTCCTTACACCTTATACAAAAATCAATTCAAGATGGATAAAGACTTAAACATTAGACCTAAAACCATAAAAACCCTAGAAGAAAACCTAGGCATTACCATTCAGGACACAGGCATGGGCAAGGACTTCATGTCTAAAACCAAAAGCAGTGGCAACAAAAGCCAAAATTGACAAATGGGATTTAATTAAACTAAAGAGCTTCTGCACAGCAAAAGAAACTACCATCAGAGTGAACAGGCAACCCACAAAATGGGAGAAAATTTTCACAACCTACTCATCTGACAAAGGGCTAATATCCAGAATCTACAATGAACTCAAACAAATTTACTAGAAAAAAACAAACAACCCCATCAAAAAGTGGGCGAAGGATATGAACAGACACTTCTCAAAAGAAGACATTTATGCAGCCAAAAGACACATGAGAAAATGCTCATCATCACTGGCCATCAGAGAAATGCAAATCAAAACCACAATGAGATGCCATCTCACACCAGTTAGAATGGCAATCATTAAAAAGTCAGGAAACAACAGGTGCTGGAGAGGATGTGGAGAAACAGGAACACTTTTACACTGTTGGTGGGACTGTCAACTAGTTCAACCATTGTGGAAGTCAGTGTGGTGATTCCTCAGGGATCTAGAACTAGAAATACCATTTGACCCAGCCATCCCATTACTGGGTATATACCCAAAGGACTATAAATCATGCTGCTATAAAGACACATGCACACGTATGTTGATTGCGGCACTATTCACAATAGCAAAGACTTGGAACCAACCCAAATGTCCAACAATGACAGACTGGATTAAGAAAATGTGGCACATATACACCATGGAATACTATGCAGCCATAAAAAATGATGAGTTCATGTCCTTTGTAGGGACATGGATGAAATTGGAAATCATCATTCTCAGTAAACTATTGCAAGAACAAAAAACCAAACACTGCATGTTCTCACTCATAGGTGGGAATTGAACAATGAGAACACATGGACACAGGAAGGGGAATATCACACTCATAGGTGGGAATTGAACAATGAGAACACATGGACACAGGAAGGGGAACATCACACTCTGGGGACTGTTGTGGGGTGGGGGGAGGGGGGAGGGATAGCATTAGGAGATATACCTAATGCTAAATGACGAGTTAATGGGTGCAGCACACCAGCATGGCACATGTATACATATGTAACTAACCTGCACATTGTGCACATGTACCCTAAAACTTAAAGTATAGTAATAAAAAAAAACAGCTAATATGGTATTGCACAGTGAAAAGCTATAAACCTATACTCTAAGATTAGAAGCAAGACAAGGATGCCCACTCAAGCCATTTCTATTCAATATAGTACTGTAATTCCTAGCCATAGGAGGTAGGTAACAGAGATAAAAAGTATTCAGGTTTGAGAGAAGTAAAATCATCTCTGTTTGTAGATGACATGAATTTATATATAGAAAACCCTAAAGACTCCATCAAAAAACTATTAAAACAAATAAATAAATTCAGTACAAAGCACATAAAATCAACACATAAAAATTAATAGCAGTTTTATACACTAAGAGCAAACTATCCAAAAAATCAAGAAAGCAATCTTACTTACAATAGCACCAACAAAACCCAAAACACTTAAGAAATAAATTTAACCAAGGAGATGAAGCATCTGTGCAATGAAAACTGAAAATCATTGATGAAAGAAATTAACGGAGACACAAACAAATGGAAAGACATCCCATGTGCATGAATTGGAAGAATTAATACTGATAAAATGTCCATACTACCCAAAACAACCTGCATATTTAATGCAATCCCAATGACAAAGTTACAATGAAATTTTCATAGAAACAGAAAAAGAATTCTAAAATCTGCACAAAACCACAAAAGACCTGGAGTATCCAAAACGATTTTGGACAAAAAGAATAAAGCTGGAGGCATCACACTACCTGATTTCAAATCATACTTCAAAGCTATAGTAATCAAAGCAGCATGGTACTGGCATAAAAACAGATATATAAGGCAATGGAATAAAGAGAGTCATAAATAAATCCAAATATTTACAGTCAATCAATCTTCAGCAAAAGTAACAAGGACATAAAATTAGGAAAGGACAAGTTCCTCAATAAATGATGTTGGAAAACCTGAATATTCACATTGGGAAGAATAAAAATGGATCTTTATCTCACACCATATTAAAAAATCAACTCAAAAACAATTAAAGACTTAAACAAAAGACCTGAAACTCTAAAACCACCAGAAAAAAATCATAAGGGACATATATCTTGGCTTTGGTCTAGGCAATGAAGTTTTGGCTATGACCCCTGAAAGACAGACAACAAAAACAAATACAGATAAATCAGATTATATCAAACTAAGAAGGACAGCAAAGGAAACATTAACAGAGTAAAGAGCCTCCTATGTAATGAGAGAAAATTTTTGCAAACCATACATCTCATAAGGATTTAATATCCGAAATATATAAGGAACTGAAATAACTAAATAGAAAAAATAGAAATAATAAATGTAATAAATGGGCAAAACACCTGAATAGACATTGCTCAAAAGAAAATATTTAAATAGCCAACAAATATATGAATAAATGCTCAACATTTCTATTCATCAGGGAAATGCAAGTGAAAACTGCAATGAAATACCACCTCCCACTTGTTAAAATTGCTGTTATCAAAAAGACAAATGATAACATGTGTTGGAGACAATAAGGAGAAAAAGGAAGCTTTGTGAACTGTTGGTAGTTAGCACATCCATTATGGAAAACTGTATAAAGGTTCCTCAAAAACTTCAAAGAATCACTACCATATGATACAGCAATCCTATTTCAGGACACATATTCAAAAAAATATGATATCAGTATGTTAAAAAGGTATCTGTACCCACCCTGTTTATTGAATTGGTATTCACAATAGCCAAGATGTGGAATCAACTTGCATATTTATCAGTTAGTAAATGAATGAATGAAAAATAGTGCTATATATGCACAATAGAATATTAATAAGCCCAAATAAAGAGGGGAGTCTTTGTTATTTGCAGCATCATCATATTGTTTATACACATTTCTAGTAAACAGCCTTCATGAAGTTCTTTTTTTTATTATTATACTTTAAGTTCTAGGATACAGGTGCAGAACGTGCAGGTTTGTTACATAGGTATACACATGCCATGGTGGTTTGCTGCACCCATCAACCCGTCATCTACATTAGGCATTTCTCCTGATGTTATCCCTCCCCGTGCCCCCGACCCCCACTCAGGCCCCAGTGTATGATGTTCCCCTCCTGGTGTCCATGTGTTCTCATTGTTCAACTCCCACTTATGAGAACATGCGGTGTTTGGTTTTCTGTTCCTGTGTTAGTTTGCTGAGAATGATGGTTTCTAGCTTCATCCATGTCCCTGAAAAGGACATGAACTCATCATTTTTTATGGCTTCATAGTATTCCATGGTGTATATGTGCTACATTTTCTTTATCCAGTCTATCATTGATGGGCATTTGGATTGGTTCCAAGTCTTTGCTATTGTGAACAGTGCCGCAATAAACATAGGTGTGCATATGTCTTTATAGGAAAATGATTTATAATCCTTTGGGTATATACCCAATAATGGAATTGTTGAGTCAAATAGTATTTCTGGTTCTAGATCCTTAAGGAATCGCCACACTGTCTTCCACAATGGTTGAACTAATTGACACTCCCACCAATAGTGTAAAAGTGTTCCTATTTCTCCACATCCTCTCCAGCATTTGTTGTTTCCTGATATTTTAATGATTGCCATTCTAACTGGCATGAGGTGGTATCTCATTGTGGTTTTGATTTGCATTTCTCTGATAATCAGTGATAATGAACTTTTTTTTCAAATGTTTGTTGGTGGCATAAAGTCATCTTTTGAGAAGTGTCTGTTCATATCCTTTGCCCACTTCTTGATGGGGTTGTTTGTTTCTTTTCTTGTAAATTTGATTAAGATCTTTGTAGATTCTAGATATTAGCTGTTTGTCAGATGAATAGATTGCAAAACTTTTATCCCATTCTGTGGGTTGCCTGTTCACTCTGATGATAGTTTATTTTGCTGTGCAGAAGTTCTTAAAACAGTCTGTCTCTCTTTAAAAAACAACTTAGCCCATTTACTTTTTAAAGCAACAAATAAGATTTAACATTTTAATATTATATTTTTCAGAAAAGATGATAAGATCTACAGTTTAAAAATAGTAGAACAAAGGTGGAAAGAAAAGGCAAGTGGCCACAGTCTTTTACAAGCATTTTCATGCCATGTTGTCAGAAATATAATTTGATCTAACTTCCTACTTCCTTATGTAGTCACTTACTCTGTTTACTGCCTCAGTTGACTCTTGGAGTAGGAAATATTTCCAGTGAATATCCATACTTTGAAAAACCTTAATAACACTTTAAAATTTTTCTCTGTTGAAAGCATCTCTTATATAAAACTTGTATTTTAATTAATAAATTTCTACTCTTTTTATTATTAATGCTAGATTCACTGCAATATAAATAAGTGCTCTGTTTCATTTGTATTTTAAAAAATTGTACAGCTACTCTTATGACTTACTAAATTGCCAATATTTGCTCAAAAATATTTATTATGCAAAATAACAAGCAAGAATCATGGAAAGAATATAATAAATGTAATATTCAATAATTATTAACATTTATCATGTTTATGTATTTTTATCTGTAGTAGTGTTAGATACAAATATATACATACATGTACAGAGATAAATAGCATAACAATTACATATGTAACTTACTATTTATTTGGAACTCGTTAGAAAATGATTTTAAAAATATTACTAACATCATAATACTTCAGCATGTGTCTATTTTTTACTAATACTTCAGCATGTGTCTATTTTTAAAAGGTACATTATCCTGTATTCACATTATCAAATATAAAACTACTGAAATAACATTTTCTCTATTCATTGACAATATGATCCTATACTCATAAAACTCTAAAAACTCCACCAAAAAGCTCCTAAAACATAAATGACTTCAGTAATGTTTCAGGATACAAAATCAACATAGAAAAATCAGTAGCCTTGGTATACATTAATGATGTTCAGGCCGAGAGTCAAATCAAATCAAACTCAGCAATAGAAAACCAAATACCACATGTTCTGACTTACAAGTGGGAGCTAAACAGTGAGTACACATGGACATAAAGATGGTAACAATAGCCACAGCAGAATACTAGAGGAGGGAGAGAGGGAGAGGGACGTAGATTGAAAAACTACTTATTAGGTATTATGCTCTCTACCTGGATGACAGAATCTGTACCCCAAACCTCAACATCATGCCATACATTCATGTAACAAATCTTCACGTGTACTCCCTAAATCTAAAATAAATTTGAAATTAGATTTTAAAAAATCAACTAGGTCCCAGTTTGTTCATTGCTGTTGAGGTACCATTGTTCTTGCACATATCAATGAACAGCTCTAGGAAATATATTTTAGTTAAAATAATTCTGCCTTTATGTTTACATTTCCAATCAACATAACAAAGTTCGTTCATTTTTTAAGAATTTTATGTTATTATATTTCAAAATATTGATTACAAGTAATGCCATTTGGATGTTATGTTTTGTTATTTATATATATCAGTTTAATATTATTTGTATATATACATACATATATATTTATATATCTGAATAAATTCAAAATTTGAATAACATAGTAAAATTACTAAGATCAACTTATGTTTTTTGTTTCTTAAGAACATACATACTTTGAGGAATATGTATATTCTTGAGAATATACATACTTTTGTTTCTTAAGAATATACATACATAGAGGATTAGGAGCTAAAAGCTAAGGTTACAGGGTTTTATTTTGAGGTGATGAAAATGTTATAAAATTGTGTAATGCTTGCACGTATCTGTGTATATATTAAAAACCACTGAGTTTTATACTTTGGGTTAATTTTATAGCATGTAATTATATATCAATAAAGCTGTTGAAATACATCCTTTGCATTCTTGCTCCCTTTGAAATCAGGCAAATTTATTTTTAATTTTTAATATTGAGTTTTAAGAATTCTTTATATATTCTGGGCACAAGTTCCTTATCTGATATACTATTTGCAAATGTGTTCTCGCATTGCATGCATAGTCTTTCACTTTCCTGATGGTGGCCTTATTATCATCCATAAAAAGACTATGAAAGATGTGATCTTGCTATGTTTAAATGCAATGATTCTAAGCAATAGAGCTATTCGTGCTTGGCTTTACAGTAAGGAATGCAGCTATGAATTATGTTTCTGTCATTTTTGTCTCTTTCCATCACTCAGCAGTAAAATTTATCAATTTCAAAAAAAAATGTTGATGAAGTACAATGATCTGTTTACCCATTGTCATTTATGCTTTTGGTGTAGTATAAAATATACCCTAAACCAAAATCATAATGATTTACTCCTATTTATTCTTCCAAGAGTTTTACAGTTTTAGTTCTTATAATTATATCGATGATCCATTTAGAATTAATTTTTTACAGGATATAAGGGACATGTCAACATTATTGTGTTGCACATGGTTATTCAGGTGTCCATGCATCATTCCTTTTTCATTGGATTATCTTGGCACCTTTGTGAAAATCAATTAACCATTAATCTAATTAATTAGGTTACTGAAATTAATTAATTGCTAATCTAATTAATTAATGGTATGATTAATTAATTTCTGGGATCTCAATTTCATTCCATTGATCTATACATCTACCTTTATTCCAATATCATGTTGTGTTGATAACAGTAGCTTTGTGATAAATTTTGGAATTGGAAATTGTCAGTTTCTAACATTGTTCTTTTTCAAGATTTCTTTGACTATTTTGAATCCATTGTACCTACGTATTTTCAGATCAGCTTAACAATTTCTGCCAAAAAAAAAGTCTAGCTAGGATTTTGACAGGGATTTTGTTGAATTTATAGATCAATTTGGAGAATATTGTCATCTAAAGAATAAAGTCTGTCATGATTTTTGAATATGGGATGTCTTTTTTTTTTATTTATGTCTTCTTTCATTTCTTTCAACAATGTTTTTTAGTTTGCCATTACATTTTTCAGGGCTTTCCTGGCTTGGCGTCGTGGATTTCTCAGGCATTTGCATTGTATCTTCCAGAGAATATTTTTTGCCTTGGAGTTATAGCATGCTTCTTTTATTTTCAATACTGGTTTAATCACATTTTTTTATTTTTAATTTCTCATGAAATGTTAATGGCAAGAGACATGAACGTGTATGTACATTTTGTCATGATGAACCAGAATACTTTTTATTTTAAAGTTTTTCTCAAATGTTACTTCTTCAGTCAACTTTCCACAGATCTGACCTACAGTTTATGTGTTTCTGATGTGCATCTTAACATTTTATAGATCTATATTTGCACTTATGATATTAAAGTACATACGTTTGTGGCGGTTCCTCCTACTTAGAAAGCTGATATCATATTTTAATTATTGTTGAATCCTTATAGCACAACATGATAAATATATATATATATAAATGGAAAGAATGTTATGGCCAATGTCTTGAAAAGTATATCATTCTATATAAAAAGTAGTAAATATTTAAAGTAGATACAGCTTTGTAATTCTGGAATATCATATGAATATCTTCATAAGTAGAAGGTTTGCATTTAATTGGTATATGTCTGCATCAAATTAAGTGGTAACAAGTATCAGTGTTGTTCGGAGCTGAATGTTGTTTCTCCATAAGGTATGTGTTGAAGCTCTAAACCCCGTACCATAGAGTGTGCTTGTATTTGGAGAAAGGGCCTTTCAAAGGTGATTAAGTTAAAATGAAGCCTTAGAATGGGCCCTAATCCAATCTGACTGATGTCTTTATAATAAAAAATTAGGACATACAAAGAGATGCCACCACACATCTGTGGACATAAAAGAAAGACCATATGAGGACATAGAGTAAAAGCAGTCACACCTGACAGCCAAGGAGAGAAGCCTCAGAAGAAACCACCCTGCTGCTGACGCCTTTATTTTGGACTTCTAGCCTCCAAAACTGTGAGACAATAAATTTCTGTGTTTAAACCACACAGTATATGGTATTTTGTTATGGCAGTAATAGCAAACTAATACAAGTGTCCAGAAATAGTAGTAAACAACCATGATCATTTATGTACAGTTTGTAGCTGTTTCCAGGCTCCAAAGGCTGAGTTGTAGTTGTGGCAGAGATTGTATGTCCTGCAAGTCTAAAATATTTACTATCTAGCCCTTGACAGAAAACATTTGCCAATTCCTGGTGTAGGGATTGGGGATATATGTACATTAGTAAAGAAATTATACTGTATGATGCTATAATTTTTTTAAAAATGTTTCCAAAATGTTTCAAGTATTAACTAGGGAAATCCCACATATCAATAACTTTTTTTTTTATCTCTGTAGCATGAGAGAAAGAAAAAAGAGGTTCTAAATAAATTAGGGTTGCAGAAATTTAGCAGCACATGTGTAGAGTAATTTATTAATAAAAAGTACCATTACTTGTAATAGCAGAACTATTACTTTTATAATAAAACTGTGAAATATTGAAAGGTTAAGAATAAAGTTCCATGAGTTAGTTTTGATGATGAGATATCTGGAATCATTAAGCCATGTTTCATACTGAGGATTTTTTTTCAAATAAATACTCAGATAAATCCAAAATAAATATTATAGTAGAAAGCTAAAAATAAGATATGTCAGATAAAGTCAGATTAAGTTGTGTTAATTATTGTAAAGAGTTATTTACAGAACAGCAGTGATAGTGGGACTGCTACCATCAAGTGGTTCTTATTTTCTGGAGAGTTGGAAGAAGTGTAAAATAATGTCAATGTCAATAAATAAAATGTCAATCCAAATTTTTTGTTGAAATTTGGGAAAATAGCATTTCTCATGGGACTACAGTAGTTGTAGAGAATTGCAAATGCATCGGCCTTCCAAGAAGAGAAGACTCTCCAAGTCCCAAGGGAGGGAGGTGCATGATAAAAGGAAGCTTCCTTGCCAAAAGTTGTTGGATTTGGTTTCTGCAGCTTTATTCAGAACAAAAACAAATTGTAGGCAATAACCTAGGTCTCCCAGCAACACAGACACACAAGGGAATGAAAGGTTGCATTTCATGAACTCACTCACAAAATTAAGTGCGCTAAATAGTTGTATTCTTATTCGCTGTTGAGGGTACAAAGGAAAACATATAAACAGGTAGAGTACCACTGTATTCTTGTGTTCTATGAATGGATGCCCCTACTCTATGCGAGGTGCTGTCAGTGGATCTGAGATAGAGAGAAGGAGGCAGGATCCTTGTATTCATGTAGGTAATAGACTTATAGAGGAAATATGGTAGTCTAACCAATAAAGTTAATCATTTCCTTAAAAATAAAAATCATAAAATTTTAGTTTCATAAAAGTACTCTATGAGATAAATTGTTTAATGTTTTTTCAAGAATTATAAGAAAGCAAGAAAAAAGTTTCTAACCCACAGAAACTCTTAAAAGACAATATTTTTTAGAAGAGTCCTAATATCTACTTTTAAATTATCAAGAATATAGCTAGTACAAAAAGTACTTTAGACATAGAGAAACGTTAAAAGAAAACTAGCAAATCACTGATTTAACCAATTTTGTATGCTCGAGATTTTTAACATTAGTTGCTCAGCACAAGTGGGATAACAGTACCACACACATATTTATTTTTTCTATATAGAAGTAAAATTATAACTTCATAGGAAAACTGCATCCAATTTTATATTTCATAATGTGTTCCCTATAGATCCATCAGCTAGAAGGCAGAATGGGTGAGATATATACATTACACAAAGTGGAAAGTGGGGACTTCGATTGTAATTACCTATTTTGAAATGGGAAATGGTGGTAAAAATGAGCTTCTCGCCTTCGATGTCATAAATTCAGGGACTTTATAACTTCTCTATATGTGCAAAGTAAATTATACTCTAAGACTGAGGTAATTTTCTTCAGATTTCATTCTTTACAATTAAATGGACTGAATATATGTATAGAAACCTCTTAGGAGAATTTCTGGCTCAGGTGCTGTAGAATATGCAAAAACTGTACCTTTGCATTCTTGGCTGGTACAAGGTTGACAGTGAAACAAATTTGCTGTAATCTGATATCATGTTCCTGTTTTAATTATAATAATTTGATATTTGGTGGTCATAACTTTTTCACTACCTCCAACTCAGGATATTTGTTTGTTGTTTTCATGGTAAGATTGTCGAATTTACCTGGGACAGAACCTAACCTTATATCCTTAAAGCAATTCCTTCAAATAAGATTTAAATCCACAATCTGGGTACAGTGGTGAACACCTGTAGTCCTAGCTACTACAGAGTCTAAGACAGGAGCCTGAGCCCAGGAGTTTGAGTCCAGCCTGGGAAACATAGCAAGACAGTGTCTCTAATTTAAAAAGAAAAATAAATAAGTATTCAAATTCAGATGAAAGAGCTGTGTCCTATATTCATGGCAATTGTTCTCCCTAAAATAACAAAGTTTACAGCTCCTCATCTTTTTTAGGTAATAAAATCAACAGCAATTAGTAAAAAACAGGTGATGTTTAATTTACCTGCTCTTTATTTGAAATTATTTTTCTATTAACTTCATTTATGTATTTAATTATCTGCAATTATGTAGACATTTTAATCATTTTACCTCTTTTTCATTTTGTTAATATAGATTATTGCTTACAAAACTTGTAAGCAAAAATTCTACCAGGATCTCCAATTGGAAAATTTGAAATCTTGCCTGGTGATCTAGAAGTACACTTTTGCATGTAATCAGAAGAAAGAAAGAAAATAAGAAAGACAGAAAAATAATTAAGTGAAAGAATAAAAAGGAATGAAGAAGAAAAATTATTTACAAAGTAAGAAGGACAGAAGAGGGAAGAGATAGAAAGAAAGAAGAAAAAGGAATAAAAATGTTTAGTATTTGAGAAAATCTAGCAACTCACAGAAGAGTTCATTTACATTAGGATTTAAGAAAAAACTAAAAAATGTTAAATGGGTATGTAAGATAGGAGTCAATGTAGATTAATCTATCAAAAAGTTAATTGGAACAAATTTATGTTTATTTAAATAACACCTAGAAATATACAGTTATGTCAGATTAATAATTCTAAAATTTTAAACATATGTAACATTTAAATGTAATTGTTTAAAATATAATTAATCCATTATATTTACATATATTTATTTTTCCAATTGCTTACCAATATATAATAGTATATCTCATACTGTAAAGTCAATCTTGTTTTTCCCCTTCCTTCTCTTCCTCTCATTCTCTTTTCTCTCTTCCTTCCTTTGTTTTTTTTTTCCCACCTTTCTCTGTTTTCTTTCTTTCTTTTATCCACTCTTATTTTTTCTCCCCCACCTAAGAGGAACACAGAAATTACAATCAGACTCACAGAAATTGCTTAAAGCAGGGTCAGCAAATGAGGAACACATTTATTGATTAGCTTCTTTGAATTATCTTCTATTTGTATCTTATAAATTCAAATTTAATTATCTATCTTATAGAAGAAATTAGAAAATTATAAACTTTCTAAGCATTAAAACAGACATCTGGTTATTTCCTTGAGTATTAAAACATCCTAGATTTTACTTCATACAGGGAATTCTGAATCATTTCCTGGGCTTAGATAGATGTTTTCTCATGTTTCTTTATAATCCAGGTTTATTTATGATCACGAGAAATTGATGCATTATTAGTCACTGCCAAGCTTCATTTACCCAACTGTATGATGGAAAAAAGAGTCAAGCTTTGCCTATGACATTTTGTACTCCACGAGCCTTACACTTTGCTCTGGGTATACACAATGGAATAGACATTATTTTTTTCTTTTCCTCAGGCAGTATATTTCATGAAAAATTCATTTCTTCCATCTCCCACCTCTAAGTAACTCTGTAAGAAAGGTATACAAAAGGAACTGACCTTTAGTCCATTTGAATGACTAGTCCTGAACTGTTGGCTTGATGTTTTGTGCTTTCACTGTGAGTGTCATACTTCTTATCCTGACTCTTGCATACAAATTTAGCTGCTATCTCCTGTTGTGCTTCACTCATACCAATTAGGTCCTCCACACAGACCTCAGTCAGTGGCTATTTTTGAAGTAGGTTGAGTTCGAAGTTCCTCAAAAGACTAGATTACAAATGTCTGTTTTTCTAACTCTTTAAATGGAAGCATTGAATTAAGGAAAATACTATTGTTCTTAAACATAAAAGGAAATGCAGTAAGCCAGGAAATTTAAAGTTAGGAAATTATCATCATACTGCATTACTCTGTGTCTAACAATGATTAAAAGTTATGAGATCAGGAATGGATAACTGTGCAATAGTTGAATACGTAGACAAAAAATTAAAGAAACAAAGAATGCCAATAAACATAAAAATTCTAGCATGTTATTTTTGAATAAAATCAAACAGATACAAAATAGTATTAATATAATCATAATATCTACTCAGCATTTTGTATACCTCCCTTGGCATTTTTGGGCCACTGCCAGAAAACACAGATGTTTATAACCAGGACAATTATTTTTTCAAAAAAATACATCTAGGAAAAAAATGGACTTAATTCCATTCATCAAAAATTATTGACATGAAATTTCAGAGACAGAAATATTTAAGAAAACATTTTCAAACTTTAGAAGGCTGTAGTAAGATATCTGGGGAAGGAGTTGAAAATAAAGATAAATGATAGTTATTAAAATTCAATGTAAAGGAGAAAATGCTTTTATTCTGTATTTTACATCCCTTCTCATCACGGAATTTGAGATTGGTTGATAATATTTAGCCTGAAATAACTACCCCTAACAGTTGCTTTTCTTTTTTTAATTTTATTAAGATTAAAATTAATGTGCTGTGTCATTATTACAAAATATGAAGAGAGCAGACATTTCACTTTGGTGCAGAATTAGAAGTATTATCATTCATGGGTTTTTTTCTAGCTGTCCAATGAGCTACACTTTTAGGTTTTCTGGTATGAACATCAGAAAATAAGATGGCCTGATCTTTCATTTGATTCTTATGAATTATAAACTTCAGGAAATATATTTTGTGCCTAAGATTTTCCATGAGTTACATGTGAATAAAAATAGACGGATTTAACTGTCATCTCTTTGCTTATAGATAAATCCAAGTGCATTAATGTGGCTCACAAGGCCCATTATGACCTTGTGCCAATTGATTTAACCTGTCTCTTTTGTTTCCTCTCTCACTCAACACCTGTATGGTTCAAATACAAAATTCTCACAAGGCCATATTCTCATTTCTTACAAAAGAATTTTACATCCTTTCTCTTTTAAGAGAAAGGCCATTTGATTTGAGTTTGGACTCCATTTTCTCAAGGAATTCTTCTTAAGTCTCCAAATGTGGCTTTTTGTTCCTTTTGGTTCTCATGGCTTTCTGCATTTAAACTATGGTTGTTCTTCATTATCACCTCTACTAGGATGTTTAATTGTATTTTTTGGTTTGTTTTTTGGTCATCAGTAAAATTTAGCATAGCTTTTGGACCAGAATTTTCTGGTTTATTTCCCATTATCTTGTTTCTACCATGCAAGTCTGGATGGCTTCCTCTCCCCAGAGCACTCTATTTTGACCCTGACGTAATATAGCTCCACCTCTTTGCAGGCAATCTACATTCTCTCTGTTCTCCTTAAAGCCACTTGTTGGGTTTAACGGGTTTCTATATATTGTTTCTATATATACTATATATATATAATACTATATATATATATAGTATATATAATACAAAATACAATGCATTGCTTTAAGTCTACTTTTCATGATTTATTAGAGTTTTCTTAACATAATCATCTAACTAAAAATGTTAGGTGACAATTTTAAAAATATATTTGCAGCCACTTTATATATATATACATATATATGTGTACACATTTTTTGTATATATACACACACTATACATAATATATAGTATATAGCATATATAGTATATATAGTATGTAGTATATATAGTATGTAGTATATATAGTATATATAGTGTATTTAAATTTTTTAATTCTGCAGTGTATTTTAATTTTATTTTCCAATGATTTTCTGTTATATAGAACTACACTTTATTTTGGAACATTGCACAAATTTGCTAAACTTGCTAATGAGTTCTAGAAGCTTTTCTATGGATTCCTTCAATCTTTCTACGTGCATGATTATGCCCTTTACTAAAAGGAACAAATTTATTTCTTTATCTTTATCCAGTACTCAATTTTTTTATGTTCTTATTGTACTAAGATGCACAGTATAATGTTAATTAAAAGTAGTGAACAAATATTTTTTCCCTGTTCTTTATATTTGTATAAAACCTTCAGGTCTGTGTTGTTTAATATAAGGTTAGCTCTAGGTTTCATAATTATGCTTTTTCAAGTTGAGAAATTTTCATTCAACTTTTAGTTTGTTGCAGATTTTATGCTGAATGTGTGTTGAATTATTCTTTCAGATGCGCTCCTTCATCTATAGAGGTGTTCAAATTGTATTTTTCAACGCATTAATGGTGTAAATTATATTGAATGATTTTTCATTTTTATACTAATTGTGCATTTTGAGAATAAACTCAACCCTGTCATGGATCACACTTTTTTATTACTAGATTCAACTTGCTGAAATTTTAAGTTTTTGAGGGTCTGTACTCATAGAAGACATTGGTCTGTGTTTTTCTTTTTTTTTTTCAATGTCTTTGCCTGTTCTTTGGTAACAGTGCTAGTCTCATAAAATGATTGGGAATTGTTACCACCTCTCATTTGCTAAAAAAAAAGAAAAAAAAATTGGGTGGAATTTGAACTATATTTTTCTTAAACTGAAGTAGGATATTTTTAACTATGAATTCTTTTTTTTTTGGAGTCTCACTCTGTCACCCAGGCTAGACTGCAGTGTCTTGATCTCGGCTCACTGCAGCCTCAGCCTCCCAGGTTCAAGCAGTTCTCTGCCTCAGCCTTCTGAGTAGCTGGGATTACACGCGTCCGCCACCACACCCGGCTAATTTTTGTATTTTTAGTAGAGACGAGGTTTCACAATCTTGGCCAGGCTGGTCTTGAACTCCTGACCTCGTGATCCACCCGCCTCAGCCTCCCAAAGTGCTGAGATTACAGGCGTGAGCCACTGTGCCTGGGCTGAATTCAATTTTTAAATAGATATAGAACTGCTCAGATTATCTATTTCCTCTATAGATAGTTTGTTACATTGATGTACACAGATTTATAGTTTTTGTCTTTAAAAGAATATTTTCATATCTAACTTGTTGATATGAAAATACAATTTGTCTTACATGCCGTAGGTAATTTAATATTTTTAAATTATCCTTTAAGAACAGAAGACAAAATTTATATAAATTGTCTTCATGCTCAGAAAAAAAGCCTAGCCTGAAAGCTTATTTAAGTTGTTTAAAGGTATATAACTTTTATTTCTAGTCGTAGACCCAAACGTCACTCCTACTGGATACTGAACAGTGTTATTTCCAAGAGTACTTGTTTGTATACTTTGCATCATTTATTTTTACCATATACTTATTCAAATCCTGGATTTTTATTTTCAAAAATCAGATTCACCTCCAAAGGAAAAATAATAGCACCACACTCAGAACCTTTAAACCAATAAATAAATAAATAATTCAAATACAATCTCCATAAATGACTAGGATATCATTGGATTAAAAGCTTTTCAGAGTGACTGCTGCTTTGAAGATTATTATTTTTTCCTGTGTATTTGTTTTAAAAGAAGCAATATGTCTACAATTTTACCATTCACATTTATTTACCATAAAATGATATTCATCAAACAATATAATTTAAAAATGTAATCATCATATCAATGGATAAAAATAATCAGAATTTAAAATACACCAGTAGATTTTCTTCTGTTCTCTACTGAAACTCATCATAGAATCTTCCAGATATAGGGTATATAATTAGCAAATCAATGGGTTAATTTTTAAAAAATGCAATTTTCAATAATAATGAGAGTTAATATTTCTTATGGGAACTGGCTTAAACTGGGTTATGGGGAAGTATGAATAGCAGAAATAGATTAATTATCTTTCAAATTTGGAATATTGAGATTGAATAAAATGCTTTTTAACACTCTATTAAAATGATATCTTTGTGTGTGCAATTCAGGTCATAGATCTCATTTTTTTTCTTCCCCCACCTCCGCCCCGGCACCAAATTCATGTTTTAAACCATTTCATTGTGAACCACTGAATGGAAATAATGTTTCATGGAATTCTTGCC